>NC_000002.12:193550224-193853254 GCF_000001405.40 Homo sapiens | reverse complement strand
CAAGCACGAAAATTATGTTTTTAATAAAAAATTATGTGACTTATAGGCAAATAATCAGTCTTATATAAAGTGACTGAGTATTTAATGAAGATAATAATAAGAATGCTTTATTTGGTATTTCTCACATCCTATGGCTTATATAACACACACACACAGAAACACGCGTGTGTAATTATTATGACTTCAAACACTAATGTGCTCTGGTTAGAATAATACTACTATGCAACTAGTAATTGATTCTTAACTAGTGTTTATAATGTGCCAAAAAGTCTTCTGGGCACCTTACTTGTATAAACTCCTATATAGTCAGGTATAGTCTGGTTTTAAGATCTATGCCCTCATAACCTATACTAGATATGAAAATGGCATTGCACAAAACAAATTGGACAAAAAACGAAACAGAAAAAAACACCACAACATCAAGAGATTTTTAAATTTAGTTATCTATGAAAATGTCTTACTTTCTAAAAAGTATTTTTTGAAATGTTAGACTAAAGGACAAACCACCAGTAGCTCTATTATCACAAATATTTGCATTGTTTTTTTTAATCAAGCTTTTCAAGAAAGCTTCATGAGAATAACAAAGAGGCTGCCATACAGAGTCATGAAAGAAAGAAATAAAATGTGAAGAGGTACATTATTCAAACTAATAGCTCAATCTGTGAGGACAAATAAAGGTTACTTATCCCCTAGAAAGACTTGTTATATAAGAATAAAATTGAATAGCATAATTGACTCAATTTTTTGATGGTTTCTCATGTAGAGTTTTCTACCTAAGAGGGCAGGTTACTCTTCAGGATATGACTTTTAAGAACAACTTGCAAGAAAATGCCCATTGAATCTTTCTCATTTTAAAAAGTTTTTCTCTCAATGGCATCTAAATATTCAATGGTCATTTACTGAAGCTTGAAGAAATATTGGTGCTCAGTATATTAAAAAGAAAGTAAAGAAAAATTCAGTTTCCTCTCCTGTAAATCTGAATTAATACAAGCTAGTTGTGCTTAGTAGAGTGGATAGAACGTCCTTTGTTATCATGACTCATAGGTAGACATTTATATGTTCAGGTTGTAAAGGCATCATAAAAATAATTCATAGTTTTTGAATTAAAATAAGATCTGGTAGAGAATTGTTGTACAGATATTACCAGATAACCTAGAGTTTTACTCAAAAACATATAGAAAGCTTGAATACACTTTTGGAGCATGTCTCTCAACAAGAGTTAATATTTCAAAAATACAACAAGGAGCACAAAATATGGATTTTTTTTTGTTTTCAGGAGTGCATCCTAGCTGTAGTTGATGATGATATTACAGAGAGAAAGAAGAATTTGGGGTAATAGAGAGGGCTTGAGAAAGAGTGGAGAAGAAATAATTTTATACTGGTATTTATTGTCCATATTGCATTGGCCTGGGGTAAACTCGTTATTGGATATAAGACATGCCTAAGTAACAAAAATACTTAATACGAGCAATTTTAGACTTGTAGCATGGTCCCATCTTTGAATTTCACCTGCCAAAACACAGAGGATAAAAGCCATTCCCCTTATTGCATCAAACCCTTTTGAATTCTATACCTCCAAATCTGCATCTGGAGATTATGGAATGTTATGGTGTTACCAGGAATTTGGCATGAGTATAATTCTCAAAAGTCATTGACATTGGGGTGGTGCTACTATTTACACTTTTAAGCCATATAGACTTGTATACTTTGAGCACTGAACAGAGACTACCAGCTAAGGGGGGTACTGGAGGCCAAAATCCAGTGTGTGGGAGTCTGTACAGAGGGCTGGCACTGCCCAAAGGACGATATCTTGTTCTGGTATGCAAAAAGTCTCACTACTGCTAGAAGAAATCCTGACCCCAGATAGCAGCTATGGTCAATTGAGAATCAGATAGAAAAGGAAGACACTAGTGGACATATGTTAGATCCTAGTTGGGTCCCTCCAGAAAATTATGGGGGGAATTAAACAGAAAGTAAAGACAGTCAGTCATGTCACTGTGTCTTCAGATACCAAAAGACAAGAGTGGTTGCAGAAGGTGGGATAGTGGTAACAACGCAGGTGAAAAGTCAAAAATATTGCTAGTCATTAAAGCAAAAGCAAAAGCTCTGAAGTCTGTTTACCTGGTTGATTACTAACTGTGATAACTTTGGCAGGAAACCTATCTTTCTCTGCCTCAGTTATCCCTTTTAACATAAGAATACTTTGGAATTATTTTGTTTTGTTGGTGGCAGGGGTTACTTTGTTGTTGATTTTTAATACAAGAGAGATTGAGCATGTTTCAGTGTTAGCAGAAAGGAGTAATTCTGTAACTAGATTTTGAAGATATAGGCCAGAGAATAATAAATTAGTATAATCTTCTAAGAAGTTGAGAGACAATGGGATACCGCAATTTTGTGAAGCAACTAATTTCATTTTTCTGTCATATGAGAAGTACCAAAGTACAGAGACAAATTTTGTGAGAATTCTACATGAAAATAAGATATTACTCATATATGGTGCTCAGAGAGATCAATGTGCAAAGAAAGCAGGTTAGCCCACTCTTTAGGAGTCATCAAAATACATAGGAAATAGGTCCAGGGAGGATAGGATATTACAAAAAGGTTTTGTTGAATGATGGCCCAGGAAACTAAAAATAATAATCAGAAGCTAATTCTAAGATTTGTTTACCTCATGCAATTATATGAACTAGTATTTATAGAAGTCAGAAATAATGACTTGAAATGCATGTTAATCAATAATCTTATGAAATGGTTAAATTTATGAAGACTAATAAAACACATTTCTATAATTTCTGTTTATTATCCTTAATTTACTAAATATAATTATTTATTTCTAGAAAACAAAAAGTCAAATCATGGCCTACCTTTAATCTCTTTTATTTTAGGAAATAAGTGCCAGGAATGAAACCATTTGTCAGATCATACACCTCTTGTGGACTGAATTGTGTCCTCCCAAAAAATTCATATGCTGAAGTCCTAATTGTCAATGTGATTGTATTAGGACATGGAGCTTATAGAGGTATAAGGATGAATCCCCAAACTAATAAGACTGCTGTCCTTTTAAGACAAAGAAGAGACACATAGGATGCACACATAGAGAAGAAAGACCATGTGAAGACACTGCAAGAAGGCAAACTTTTGTAAGCCAATGGGAGCTGCCTTTAGGAGAAATCAAATCTAACACTTTAGTCTTGGACTTCTAACCTCCAGAAATGTGAGAAACAATTTACTGTTTTTTAAGCAACCCAGTCTGCAGTATTTTGTTATGGCAGTCCTAGCAGACTAATACAGCACCTTACAAAGGAAAAAAAAATTATATCAAGTTGCCAAAATTATTTAGTTAAACATGTAAGTATGTAGCACATATATGACTTATATATATAGAATACATAAGCAATATTTTATCACCAACTTGATAGGTCAGTGAGCACAAGTGACTTTTTATTTAGAAGCCATGAGGAAAGAATCAGTGTAGAATTTTTCAAAGAAAATTTAAAAATTTTAAAATATATACAGTTTCTATTAATTGAATCTGTGCTTTATACACACACACACACACACACACACACACACACACAAACACCCCCAACATGACCAAATCAATACCACTTAAAACTAATGATTACAAGGAAATAACTCTTATCTATAGGGCTAAAAACTTGACCTCTATTCTTGGTACTGCCTGTTGCCTTATAATGGTAAATGTGATTTTTAGCCTATCAAAACTTCTTCTGGCCTATCAACTCTTCAGTTTTTTTTTTTTTTGCTCTAAAATATGCATAACAATGTCTTCCTGGAGTTCCTTACAGTGGTGATGATCAAATGAGATAATGGACTTAAAAACCCTATTGAAAATGACAGATGGATAAAAATGTAAGAGATATTATAACAGTGACAAAAAAAGATTTAATATAGTTTAATTACTTTACCTTAATTATTTTTGGGGGAAAGAAATTGGACTATGAAAACTTTCACAAATTAAATTACCGAATAGGAAAAAAGGCTGTCTTATGAACTATTTAGCATTTTTTGGTAATGTAGTAAATATTTGTTAGTTACTCATCATGTATAATCTCTATTTGACTGTGCAGGAGTTTGATTTCCACTTGATTGAGTGTCTGCTAAATGGAAAAATTTCTTAAATTTAAATTCATCTGCCACTTTCTTATATGATTAAAGATAATGTAAAATATCTTTATTATGTAGGTTTTCATGTCACTCAAAAGATAACCGTTTCAAAGAGTAAGTTTCATTATTTTATTTTAGTTTTTCTTCCAAACAGATTCTTTAACAGATTTCACAATTTATTGTTCTCTTTATGTCCTAAAAGCCTTCAACTGATATGAACTTTTTCAGACTGTATATTAGTTTAGAATAAGCTTGATCATTTCAAACAGTGTGATTCTATTTTAATTGCTCTTTCCTGGATAATTAAATTATCATACTTGAATGAACTACATTCTGATTTGACATAAAAATATACTCACCAAGTAGAAGCCAACATACTAAATAATTATAATTTGTTATAGAGAGTTGTATATATGTAGTTATAAAAAATAAATATATTAAAATACTCATAAATTATATTACCTGTCCATGATTCATTTTTAATGTTTACATTAAAATATATGAGAAACATAGAGGAAAGAACAATTAAAATGGCTCTTCAGAAGGAGCAATAAAAATTTAAGAATCCCAGTAAGATTTACTATACCTACACTCACATCCACACGCCATGCAATATATCTGCCAAAATAGATGACCTAAATAAAATAATAATAATAATAATCTTAATGATAGCTCCACAATGATGCTGATTTCCTCAAACAGAAGCAATAGTTTCATTCTCTTTGATTCTCTTGATCGTTACCGTCTTTTTAATAAATCTCTTATGTATAATCTGTCGGGAGCATAGCCACAGCCTGAAGAGCAGTGGTATTGATTTCCGTGTAATGATTAAAACAGTTAAGTTGCTATTACTGGTGCGTGTGGTGGTAATAGTATACTCATCTCCACAGAAAAGGAGAAATGACTCCTTTGCTTCAGAGGTATGCACATGAATGATGAAAAACAGGTTTTCAACTGTGTAAGAAAATGGAGAGGCTATCTCACAATGAGAGATGTACTAGTCTATTGCCCACACCTGCACTGTTGACTGCTATCAGATATAAGTGAACCTTCAAGTGCTCTTTTTTTTTTTCTCTAAAAAGACTTCTATAACATATGAGATTAGAAATGCGTTATTCATGCCACAGGGAGAATGTTCATGTTTAGCAATTTAAAAGAAAGCTGCAAGAAAGAAGAAATATTTAATTTCTTGAAACCTTAGGTTAAATACCAAGCAATCAACACTAAGCAATTATTTAAATGCTGTAGAAACATGCTCTTTACATTCTTGCTTCTCTGATGGGTGACTTACAATCAATGTTTTATGTGCAGTAAAGGTTTTTAAGAAAACGAACCTCAAATTGTCACAGATAGCACCACATTTTAAACAACAATTTAAATGATTATAGAAGCCAGTTCTAAAAGATTATTGTGCATAAAATAATTTATGTGGCAGGCCTGAGACTGCTGTTCTTAAAACGTCATGCTTGCAAGGTTGCCTTTGCTGACTGGGAAGTCGGATTTTGGTGGGGTTCCCACCATTTCCTAACTGATAAGAGTGTCTCACTGTGCCTAAACTGTTTGTGCAAGCAATTTGGTTTATGCTGAACACTTGTTTTCCTTCTTGGGTGTCTTGAATTTGGGTAAGTGGTATGTAGACTGCATTTACATGACTGGCCCCCAGTAAAATCCTTGGGCACTGAGTAATAAGCCTCCCTGAAATGCTTCAATTCCATTCTTGATGAAATTAAGCACATTTTGTGTGACTCCTTGCGGAGAGGACACTTGGAAACTTGCTCCTGGTTTTCTTCTGACTTTGCCCACGTGCATTTTTCCTTTGTTTATTTGGCTCCATAACCTTTTTCGGTAATAAATCATCATCATGAGTACAACAATATACTTAGTCCTGTGAGTCATTCTAGCAAATTACTGAACATGGGGTTTCTTGGAAATTCCCAAAACAGTTGTTTTCCTTATTTGAACAAACCAACTAGCATTCATTTTCATATAACTTCAATTATATTAAAATCTTTAATTAAGCTGGGCATGATATCTATGTTACTAATTATGAGGTTATCCTTTTTGATATTTTATTTATTTATAAAATATATTTTAACTGTTGCCTTCTAATTTGGAAGTTGTAAATATTATTAGGGGGCCAGTATGGATCAAAGCCTAATTTATAGGATCAGTTCTTTGAAATATGTGGAATGATGTGTATTTAAACATTATTTTAAAAAATAGTTTAAGTATAACTGTATCTATGTGAACAAAATCATACTTATTCTATAATAAAAATTATTCTCCTACTGGGGAGAATTGCCACTATTACTTGATCTTAGATGAATTAATTTTTTGCAGAATTATGTGTATTATTAATAGTTTTAAAGTCAAATTTAAACAGAAGGTGATTCTAAGGCTTTGCTGCCTATGTTCCCACCTTCCTGTCACCCCTGAAAAAGTTTGTATTTTAAATACACTAGTTGTGGAAAAAATAATAAATTTTTCATATGAAGAATTAAATACTGGAAAGCAGTTAATAGATAATACAAGAGCATATATATTCATTTTTTGAACATTTTAATTATAAGACAAAATCGATTTAGAAAGTTTCTAAACAAACTACTAAAATAAACAACGTAAGGAGAGAAATGCTTTTAGATAAATAAAAGTGGGATTCATGACATAGCAAATATAAAGAAAAAATATTACAAAAATGAATTTCATGATGAAAGCACAGCCACAAACAAAACAGAGACAAGGCAAGTGAAATAAATGAATGCAGTGGGTTGACTGGTAATGTTGCAAAGGAAAAGGTTAAAACTTTCTTTAGCAATTGTTGCCATGGAGAAGTATGGCCGTTGTGTTACCACATTGTCTACTTTGCAAGGAGAAAACATGTAGGTGTGTTTGTGATATCTCCAATATCTTTAATTTTAGCAACTAATACATTCATTTTTAAACTGAAGTGGAATGAGCAAACATGTCTGATTGTCAGATCAAGATAAGTACCTAGAACTTCTGTTGAGAGGTATGGACATTTCAAATGTAAGCTTGTATACAAAATTCCAGAACATTAAGGAAAGGAGATGCACACACACACACACACACACACACACACACACCACATACACAGACACATACACATTGCAAAGGTTGCATTGAGATTTTTAACATGTATTTTATTCTAGCTAGAAAGAATAAGTTTTGCCCAAAACCATACTAGTAAAAACTATTTATTTATCCATTTATTCAGCAAATAAACTGGAAAGACATACAGAGCCTGAGAAGAGAAAAAGTCACCACAGCCTAAAGCACCTGCAGAGCTAGACGATGTATGCTAACATGAGTCAGCAAAATACACATAGGAGTAGATTGTGAGGAAGATGGATCAGGGAGATATAGAAGAAAGAGTTGGATAAGGGAAATGATATCAATTTGGAAGAATTATTTTGGCATCAAAAAATTATTGACTGTCCCTTCAAAGACCCCAATAAATTGCCTGAACATGATTCTAGGAAGAAGCATGGAAAAAGTGAAGACATACTAAATAAAGCACATATGATAGAATAGAAACGTAATAAAAGACAGGGGAAGGGAAGATTAAAAGGCTCAAAGAATTGGACATTCTAGAGTAAATATACTACATAAAGCAGAATCCTACCAGTTTTATATTTTACAAGTGATCCCAAAGAATGTACTGGTGAGAAAGGAACACTCACAAGTTCAGTGGAGGCTTTGCTCTAGTATTCCAGGACTGAATGTATGAGATGCTGTTCTATTAGTGGAATCACTCATAGCAGTGTGAATGAGAAAATTCTGAAATAATAGAAGGCAGATAGTGGCACTTACACATTACAGTCAAAGTAGATACAATTGTTGTAATGAGAGGCAAGATCAGAGTGACATCCAAGGAAGCTTGACACAAAGATAGTTGTGAAGATGGGTAAGAACTCATGGCCCATAGGAACAAAATATATGATCAGCTAAAAAAAAGAGTAGTACCACTCAGTTGATAAAATGAAGTCAAGGATGGCTGATCAGGAAACTTAGGGAAATTTCCTCCAGGAAAAGTTTGGATTACTTACTCTGTTTTCAGATTGAACCAATTTTTGGTCTCAGAAAAAAATTGACCAAAGGAGATTCTTGGTCTGTATAATAATTTTCCTAGTCCTTCATCAAAATGAATCTGTGACCAATTACTTAGATACTGACTCAGGTCACCAGGGTTAGAACTAAAGTAGTGGATAAAGGAAATAGAAGCCTCTGAAACAGCCTCTCTGAAGTTAAAATAGTAAATTAAATACAATATTGCCTCCCTGACAAAATGGTAAAAAGTAGTGCCACCATTAAATTCCCAAAGGGTGGTGATCCTCACCACGTTTTTATGTAATTCAACAGTTTGGTCTGTAAAACCCAGCAGGATCATGGGAGATAATAGATAACTACTGCAAAATCAACTATATTGTAGGTCCAATTACATCTGATGTCTGAGATTTGATATCTTTTGTATAATAGATTAACATGGCCTCGAGTAGATAACACACAGTCAGTGATGTTGACAAATGCATTATTTTATATGCTTATCAGAATACAGAGAAGAAATACTTCACAATAACTTGCAATGGACAGCAACATACTTGCACAGTTTCATCCCATAACATAACTTCTCCTGTCTTCTGTCATGACATAATTTAAAGAGACCTGAAGCAGCTGCTCATCATACACAGCATTACACTAGTCTACTCAATCAATGGCATCATACTAATAAGACTTAATAAGAAACAGGTATAGACTTCTGTGTAAATAGCTCTAAGGGATCAATCAACTCTCAGATCATTTGATATTGAATTATTATTGGTGAAATTTACTGTAGTAAATTCTTATGCGTACAGTCTCTGGCATACAATGGTGTGATTAACAATTTTTGCAAATGTATGGTGGTGGAAAAGTGATACACCTTGAGTAGAAACTGTACAGTGAATTTGGAAGTTTAGGTGTAATGAGTGCATCTTTGACTTAGAATGTTTTCAAGTTACTATGGACTTACCAGGACATAATCCCGTCATAAATTGAGAAGCATCCATAATTTCATGTTGCCTTGGCTTCCATTTTGAATATAGGGCTTAACTTTCTCATGCCAGAAGCAGAGCTTAGTTGATCTTGACACGGTTTTCAGTTCTCTGCCTCCTTCCACTTCCTCAGTGTGGTTGATCCTGATACCTACCTTATACAATCACCTCCTGGTGATATCTCGCTGTGGGTCAGCTAGATACAAATGACATCACTCACTCTACTGATCCCTATACCAATCTAGGACTGCACAGATGCCTCAGCCCCAGAGCACTTTCATAGAACTCCTGCCTGCTTGCTCTAGACTCACCAATTAGAACTCACCACGGGAAGCCTTCTTGTATCTCACCTTGGACCCCTGTAAAGGTTTTACCACAGAAGTTCTTCTCTCTCTCACTCCCCACCTGGTGGTTGAGCATGCATATCCAGGATGGCCCCCGCTCTTCCTATTGGCCTTGTGGGGAATGCTGCCTTCCCTCTGGGACCTGTAAGTTAAAAATTGCTTCTGTTATTTCATGTTTTTTTTTTCTTTCTTTCTGCCTCCTCTGCCAGTCACTTGAGTAACACCCAAACCTATCTTTACTCCTAGTCAGAGCTCTCCTAGAGAATGGTTTTCTTGGTAGGAATATATTGGACCTCGGTCAGACAAGAGCCACAGAGATATCTTCCAGGATAAGCAAGTTTCCTGTGAGAGGGACACTTGGTTACTGGTGGTACACTTTGGAATTAGGCCATCTGCCAGCCAGATTCTGGAGCTGGAATATATCCTGGAGTATATAATATAATGGAGTATTATAAACCTTTAAAACACACACACACACACAAGTATCTGGGCAACAATTTCCAAAACCCCTCTGT
The DNA here is from genome assembly GCF_000001405.40 of Homo sapiens. Classification (NCBI taxonomy): domain Eukaryota; kingdom Metazoa; phylum Chordata; class Mammalia; order Primates; family Hominidae; genus Homo; species Homo sapiens. The sequence continues at coordinate 193,843,216 of NC_000002.12, read as the reverse complement.
ATTGGATTTTTTTTGAATAAATCATTATATATATATATATATATATACACTCATTTTATTTGCTTCTAATATTAATTTCTGATGAGCCTCTTCTATGACGGCCAGACTCCGGTTCACTGCCTATGTGCACCAGGTTATTTATTTCTTTTATCAGTGTTCTTATTAGTGACCACAGAAAATCCTCCATTGATTGAAGCCTACTTTATTGAAATGTATTTATCTAATGCATTGCTAATGGAAATTGCTTCCTCAAATACATTATGAAAATTAATGTTACTGCTCCTCCTTAGTAATTAACCAGAAATGGCTTTCCTCGTTACTGGCATAATTCTGCGGTTTCTACTTTGTGTCCATGAAGTTTCTCTGCCTCTGATTCCTTCACTGAACCCATAGTTCTTCTACTGGCTACTGCAGGAAACACAGACACATGCACACACCTTTCTGATATGAAGAGGGCTTCATTCTGCACCAGGTTTTTCTGAAGGAATAAATCCATAATTGGGATCTAGCAGGAAAGTATTTTAATGTTCAGAAAGAAAAAATAGGTCTCTGTAAAAATATTAACTATTTTTCTCTGGCTCTGGATCAGCTCTGCAGTTTTACATTTTATCCATCGCAAACCTACATTTTCACATAAAATACTATGTATATAGTTCCAGTTATGTCACTTCTCATGAAATGTATATGCTTTTGAATGACTGGAATAATTCTGAGAAATCATATATAATGTAAATATATTTATTATTTACAATGTAAGGATCTGTTATGTATATATTAACATATGGCAGTAGTCATAGATCGGTATTTTCAATAAGTTAACTAAAATGTTATAGGCTCAAAAGCATAAAATTAATTAATTACAATGTAAAGGGAATATTATTTTAAACAATTATATTAAATATTTATATTTGGCAAAATCTCATGTGTTATTATAATTAGCCTTTGGAACACACTGCACAACGGAATCACATGTATTTTAATGTCAAATTTTAAAAAAATGTTTTCATAAAACATTTTTGAAGAAAATTCTACTATTTATTTTTATTTGACTTAATTCAAGTAAATGTTTAAGGATTTGCTTTCTTTTACTTTTACTCTGGTTAACTTCCATTACTTTAATTTAAAATCTACTTTTATTCTGAGGAATGTTGAAATATGCAAATATTACAGAATCTACTACATTTCTGAGATTTTTTTAATCCTCCTGGAAAGGGGTACACGTGAATCACCACTTGCAAATGCACTGCATTTTTAAACTGCTGCTGAGCTATTTGTTACAAAGTACAGAAAGAAATATCTGATGGCTTTCTTGACTAGAAACAAGAGATATAAACACATTTTTTGACAATGTAAAAAAGCCTCAGGAGCATTTTCTTTCCTCAGATGTTCCTTATACTTATGATTTGCAGCTCTAAACATTAAAAAAGACAAGCCATGATTCTTCTTTCTTCCAAGTAGTTAGAAAAAGATGTGTTAAATGCTAACAACTCTGTGTGTCAAAAAGTGACATTAGTTATCTTTTTAGCTGTTAAAACTGAGAGCTCAGAATGTCACAGGATTTGCTGAGATTTGGAGTCATGTATCAGGCCAACATTGTATTGTGGGCCACGTACTAATATGGACACACAAGTATGCGTTCACAAACATGTATAGAAAATGCTAGGCATTAGTGAATGCTCTGGCAAGAGATAAGGGAAGCTACAGTGAAAAATAGAAATGCATTTTTTCTTTATCAAATCAGCCTATGTGTTCACAGTTAGAAAATTCTATAGCTTTTAATAACTTGCTTCTTTGTTGATTCTTTCTCTTGTCTGTTTTTGTTACTTAGGATCCAACTAAGTGTGCGTGCTTGAATATTTAGCATGTAGAGGCAGACATTTAGAATATGAAGCTTTTTCCTACCTCTTTGCTTAATGTCCTGTCTCACAAAATGTTTATATTATTATGTATCTTAATTCTCACAACAATTTCCTAAATGTTATTCGTGTGTGTGTGTGTGTGTGTCTGTGTGTGTGTTATAGTCTGACTTTTCCTACTTTCAAACCTAGCTAGTAGTATTCTCATGGGACAACAGAAAGGTCCAACAAGCTTCAAATTTTCAACTCCTTTTAGTTATTGGCTGTAATTTTGGGAGGTTGAAGAATAGATTTAAAACAAAATTATTTGCTGTTTAATTATATAAAGCTGTTGTATAGACATTATTCTCTCACCAAAATATTTTTTTCAAGAATTTTGAGCATGGATGGACTTAATCTTTTTGTCAATTTCACTCATTATGCAATTTTCATAGCAAATAAAGACTTAATGTTACATATTTACATATTTAATATAGCCAATGTTGCATAAGCATGAGAGAGAAATCAAATTAAACATGATGAATGCATTACTATAAGTTCTTATCTTTCATTGATGGTGAAGAAGCTATTACATAGTCTTAGTTAAATATTAATGCAAGAACTTTGTGTAAGTGCAAACATTTTTAAAAGAGTTTTATTCTCTATCTGATGTTACTTTCTAGTAAAATATAGTTTTATTTTTAAATATAACTGTTACTGGAATATAAATTTTCACTACTTTTTCTCATCTTCAAAATAAATATTTCCATCACTGGCTTTCTCTAGTAGTTTACAACTCAAAGAACTTAGTTATATTAATTAGATATATATAAGCAAGAAATCTGCTTATATAAAAGCAGGTTAATTTGTTATTTGTATTAGAAAAACACTTATTTTTCCACAAACATGAAGATTTTTTAAATTTTTTTCCTTTCCCAAAGTAAATTTTCCACAAATATTTGTTTAGTAATAGATGAATTTAATATTTAAATGAGTATATAATCTTTATGAGGGTTTTCATACCTCATGCTTCATATCAAGCTTTGATTTTGAATATAGTTCTAATGTTTCTATTTTCATACTTTTTATCATGATTTGAGATATTTAACTTTAATTCTGTACATGTTGAAGAGTCTAATAACAACAACTGACATTTATTAAGCATTTACTGTGTCCCTGACATAGTAATTATTAATGCATTGATGCACTTAATCTTTTCAAATCTTAATGTCAATGTCATTATCAGCCAGTTATACTAATAGAAGAGTTTCAAGAAGGATATAGTCATGATAGGTCAACTTAAATTTCTTATAAAATAAAGAGGTTTGAGTACCTCCTCCCTGATCCCTAATACAACAGGATTAGACATTATTTCTAAATTATCTACCATCATAATATTGGCAGGTAAACATCTGTGGGGAGATGTAACTTCCAATTTTAAAACCCAGTGTATAACTTTTTGAAACTGAAATAGGTCACTCATCAAATAATCATTCTCCATTCTTCAATGGCCTAGCCAGTCAAAGAGTCGCGTTTCAAAAAGCAACATATAAATACATGGCTTTGTTGGCCAATTTAAAAACTAATATTTATCTCTTGAGAAATATGGCAATTGGTTATGATTATCAAAACAATGTGTCAGTGTGTAAGAAAGATGTCTTGTTCTATAAAACGATCTCAGGTCAACTATAAAAAAGTGAATGAATGTCCAGCTAATTTACCTTTAACCCTATCATATATTGTGTTCCTGTGCATCACTCAGAGCCTAATGCCACCCAGGCTGAGTCTCTGCTCATTAGCATCACTTCAGGATGTTCTTTCCATCATACCATTAAGATGCACCTGACCTCAGTGATATTAACATTCTTATAGTGATGTTTCTTTCCTTTTAAAGATGTTTTAACCACAAGTAGCAAGTCTAATTGTGGAAATGCTGGACTCTAAGATCAGGCACTTAATAACACATTTAGAGTATCTGACACTCTTTAAGTTATATCATGTAAGTAATATCACTTCAAATTCCACTTGTTTATGGGAAACTTCTGTTAGATTTCTGTTTGTGACCTGGAGCAGAGCAACATCATGTAGTTCTAGATAAGTTCTTAGATTTCGTGGACTCCTCATTTAACTCTAATCAAATAGAATTTTTTGAAAGTGTGGAATTGGATTGAAAGTATTTAAATTTAAAATAGCAAAGAAAGCCAATATGTTGTTCCAATAAAGAAAACTGTAAAGTCTTTTTGACATTCTATTGGCAGCAAATCAGTTTTCTCCAATGCCAATAGCTGTCACTATATAATTATAAGGCTGTCTGTAATTTGTTATACTATAGGGATGCCACTCTCTCTGTATAGAATTAAGCAAAAGATTATCAGCAAATGAAGGAAACACAGAAGATATTTTCTCCCTCTACAGAAAAGAACATGTAAGAATCTATCAAATGGTTTTACTGTTTTTGTGGTTTACTTGTTATCAAAGTTTAAAGTTATTTGTTATTTACTATTTTTATTATAAATCATAAGAAAAATACATATTATTTTACTACCTGAAACTTGTCATATTGTTTTTAATCAATAAACATTTTGAAGATTATAATAATTATAACAGGAATTTTTTAACAGTATACTTAAAAAAAAAACACTACTCCTGTGTTCCAAAATTTTCAATCAAAATAAGAAGCCCAATTTACCCCTTACCGTTACCTTAATATGATTTCCAAAATGCAAATCTAACTCCAGTTGAGAAAACCAGCTGTGAAAGTATGTTGTGTTGACAGACACAGTGATTTTAGTAATGTAATTTAGTGCTGTTCAGCTTTAGTGACCTTTTAAAGACTAAAATAAAAACATTACTCTCTGTGGTCTGAATCATTTAAGCTGCTTCAGCTTTCATACTTTACAGTACAAACACTTCAAAACAAAGAAAGCCAGTAGGAATATGAGATGAAATAAATTTTTAATAATTATAAGACAGAGTGCCATCACACATATTGTAATAATTTGTCAAGGTGAAGAAATAGTCAAGTCATTCATTTTCCTTTGTCACCTACTCTCTAGTTATTGCATGAAAGTTTATTTTATTTATATTTTTAAAGTTTAATTATTAGAGCCCATACAAATGTTGTCCATACATTGTTCTTCAAGAGGCTTTAGAGAAGAGAGGTTAAGACTTGGGATACTGAGTCAGACTATTTGGGTTCAGGTTCTGGCTACATAACCTATTAAATTGATTATTCTTTGCCAGATAAGAAGTTAGGCAATTATTGTTATCTCAGTTTCTCTATCTGTAATATGAGATTGTAATACTCATAGATCATACAATTGTTCAGAAAAGTAAAACATTTGTAAATTTCTTTGAATATGACAGACAGAAAGTAAGTACTCAATATGTAGTATTGATTCATTTACATTTTTATCATCATTAACCATGAAATGAAATTGTAAACACATAGTTTATGCACTCACTAAGTTACCCCTGATTATCTAATACGAATAACCTCAAGTAATTAGGGATGACTTAGCTAGATAAATGAATTTTCTTAACCTGATCATGTAGTTGATTAGGAAATAAAGATTTTTGATATTACACTGCTATATTGATGCTTGCATGTTTGTATACTTTGGTAAGGACCTCAAATGTGGGAATAAGTATCAGATAAAAAGATTGAAAAATAAATTTTAAAACTCATTATTAACAAGTATTTCTTGCAACATTTTCTGTCATCAAATTCATTCCATGTCTCTTCCTGTCATAAAAACCTAAAATTTTTCCTCTCCTGTGACTCACACTGTTAGTTCAGTGCCAGATAAAAATTCACAGTTTTGCTTTATCACTAGAAAAAACATTGAGATGAAAAAACAACAATGTCTCATGAGATGACTGCCTTTTACAATATGCCAAGAAGATTAAGGCTTGCATGTTTATGATAAATTAGTATATATTTTTGGGCTATATTTTTAGAAAATGTGTTGTGAATGATCCAATTAAAAATGCTTAAATTCAACATATGTTTGAATAGTTTCTTAGACTGAAAGCCTTTACTATTGAATAAAAACAGATGTGAACAGAACACTACTTATTAATTTAAAAAATGCCTTTTGGATTAAACTAACCTTTTTGACAAGTGGGAAATACTGTAAATATTTTTAAAAAGTAATATTTTCCACTTATATTAGATGAATGATCTTGAATTAAGTGCAATTTTCTGTTAAAATGAAGACTGATATATCCATGCTTTCCATGATAGCATTTTAAGGTTTATAAATGTACAATGCTGGTACTTACTGAGGTCTTCCCTCTGATTTAAAGGTCCAATTTTTAAGATTATGTATTACTAGGCATTTATTCTTTAAAAAAAAAAAAAATGCGAAGTTGCTGCCAAGATGGCTGAAAGGAACAGCTCCAGTCTACAGCTCCCAGCGTGAGCGACGCAGAAGATGGGTGATTTCTGCATTTCCAACTGAGGTACTGGGTTCATCTCACTGGGGCTTATTGGACAGTGGGTGCAGGACAGTGGGTGCAGCCCATGGAGCATGAGCGGAAGTAGGGCGAGGCATTGCCTCACCCGGGAAGCACAAGCAGTCGGGAATTCCCTTTCCTAACCTAGGGAAGCCATGACAGACTGCATCTGGAAAATTGGGTCACTCTCACCCTAACACTGCACTTTTCCAACAGTCTTAACAAATGGCACACGACGAGATTACATCCCGTGACTGGCTCAGAGGGTCCCACGCCCAGAGGGCCTCGCTCATTGCTAGCACAGCAGTCTCAGATCCATTTGCAAGGTGGCAGCGAGGCTGGGGGAGGGGTGCCCATCATTGCTGAGGCTTAAGTAGGTAAACAAGGCAGCCTGGAAGCTCGAACTGGGTGGAGCCCACCGCAGCTCAAGGAGGCCTGCCTGCCTTTGTAGACTCCACTTCTAGGGGCAGGGCATAGCTAAACAAAAGGCAGCAGAAACTTCTGCAGACTTAAACGTCCCTGTCAACAGCTTTGAAGAGAGTAGTGGTACTCTCAGCACGGAGTTTGAGATCTGAAAACAGACAGACTGCCTCCTCAGGTGGGTCCCTGACCCCCGAGTAGCCTAACTGGGAGGCACCTCCCCGTAGGGGCCAACTGAAACCTCACATAGCCAGGTACTCCTCTGAGACAAAGCTTCCAGAGGAACAATCAGGCAGGAACATTTGCTGTTCTGCAACATTTGCTGTTCTGCAGCCTCCGCTGGTGAAACCCGGGCAAACAGTGTCTGGAGTGGACCTCCAGCAAACTCCAACAGACCAGCAGCTGAAGGTCCTGACTGTTAGAAAGAAAACTAACAAACAGAAAATACATCCATACCAAAATCCCATCTGTATATCACCATCATCAAAGACCAAGGGTAGATAAAACCACAAAGTTGGGGAGAAACCAGAGCAGAAAAGCTGAAAATTCTAAAAATTAGAGCACCTCTTCTCCTCCAAAGGAACGCAGCTCCCCACCAGCAACAGAACAAAGCTGGATGGAGAATGACTTTGACGAGTTGAGAGAAGAAGGCTTCAGACGATCGGTAAAAACAAACTTCTCCGAGCTAAAGAAGGATGTTCGAACCCATCGCAAAGAAGCTGAAAACCTTGAAAAAAGATTAGATGAATGGCTAACTAGAATGAACAACATAGAGAAGACCTTAAATGACCTGATGGAGCTGAAAACCATGGCACGAGAACTATGTGATTCATGCACAAGCTTCAGTAGCCGATTGGATCAAGTGGAAGAAAGGGTATCAGTGATTGAAAATCAAATGAATGAAATGAAGCAAAAAGAGAAGTTTAGAGAAAAAAGAGTAAAAAGAAACAAACAAAGCCTCCAAGAAATACGGGACTATGTGAAAAGACCAAATTTACGTCTCATTGGTATACCTGAAAGTGACGGGGAGAATGGAACCAAGATGGAAAACACTCTGAAGGATATTATCCAGGAGAACTTCCCCAACTTAGGCAGGCCAACATTCAAATTCAGGAAATACAGAGAATGCCACAAAGATACTTCTCGAGAAGAGCAACTCCAAGACACATAATTGTCAGATTCACCAAAGTTGAAATGAAGGAAAAAATGTTAAGGGCAGACAGAGAGAAAAGTAGGGTTACCCACAAAGGGAAGCCCATCAGACTAACAGCTGATCTCTCGGCAGAAACTCTACAAGCCAGAAAAGAGTGGGGGCCAATGTTCAACATTCTTAAAGAAAAGAATTTTCAACCCAGAATTTCATACCCAGCCAAACTAAACTTCATAAGTGAAGGAGAAATAAAATCCTTTACAGACAAGCAAATGCTGAGAGATTTTGTCACCACCAGGCCTGCCCTAAAAGAGCTCCTGAAGGAAACACTAAACATGGAAAGGAACAGCTGGTATCAGCCACTGCAAAAACAGGCCAAATTGTAAAGACCACTGATGCTAGGAAGAAACTGCATCAACTAATGAGCAAAATAACCAGCTAACATCATAATAAGAAGATCAAATTCACACATAACAATATTAACCTTAAATGTATATGGGCTAAATGCTCCAATTAAAAGATACAGACTGGCAAGTTGGATAAAGAATCAAGACCATCAGTGTGCTGTATTCAGGAGACCCATCTCACATGCAGAGACACACATAGGCTCAAAATAAAGGGATGGAGGAAGATCTACCAAGCAAATGGAAAACAAAAAAGCAGGGGTTGCAATCCCAGTCTCTGATAAAACAGACTTTAAACCAACAAAGATCAGAAGAGACAAAGAAGGCCATTACATAATGATAAAGGGATTAATACGACAAGAACTAACTATCCTAAATATATATGCACCCAATACAGGAGCACCCAGATTCATAAAGCAAGTCCTTAGAGACCTACAAAGAGACTTAGACTCCCACACAATAATAATGGGAGACTTTAACACCCCACTGTCAACATTAGACAGATCAACGAGACAGAAAGTTAACAAAGATATCCAGGCATTGAACTCAGCTCAGCACCAAGCGGACCTAATAGACATCTACAGAACTCTCCACCCCAAATCAACAGAATATACATTCTTCTCAGTACCGCATCACATTTATTCCAAAATTGACCACATAGTTGGAAGTAAAGCACTCCTCCGCAAATGTAAAAGAACAGAAATTATAACAAACTGTCTCTCAGACCACAGTGCAATCAAACTAGAACTCAGGATTAAGAAACTCACTCAAAACCACTCAACTACATGGAAATTGAATGACCTGCTCCTGAATGACTACTGGGTACATAACGAAATGAAGGCAGAAACAAAGATGTTCTTTGAAGCTAAGGAGAACAAGGACACAACATAACAGAATCTCTGTGACACCTTTAAAGCAGTATGTAGAGGGAAATTTATAGCACTCAATGCCCACAAGAGAAAGCAGGAAAGATCTAAAATTGACACCCTAACATCACAATTAAAGGAACTAGAGAAGCAAGAGCAAACACATTCAAAAGCTAGCAGAAGGCAAGAAATAACTAAGATCACAGCAGAACTGAAGGAGATAGAGAAAAAAAAAACCCTTCAAAAAGTCAATGGATCCAGAAGCTGATTTTTTGAAAAGATCAACAAAATTGATAGGCCGCCAGCAAGAGTAACAAAGAAGAAAGAGAAAAGAATCAAATAGATGCAATAAAAAATGATAAAGGGTATACCACCACTAATCCCACAGAAATACAAACTACCATCAGAGAATACTATAAACACTTCTATGCAAATAAACTAGAAAATCGAGAAGAAATGGATAAATTCCTCGACACATACATCCTCCCAAGACTAAACCAGGAAGAAGTTGAATCCGTGAATAGACCAATAAAAGGCTCTGAAATCGAGGCAATAATTAATAGCCTACCCACAAAAAAAAGTCCAGGACCAGATGGATTCACAGCCGAATTCTACCAGAGGTACAAGGAGGAGTTGCTACCATTCCTTCTGAAACTATTCCAATCAATAGAAAAAGAGGAAATCCTCCCTAACTCATTTTATCAGGCCAGCATCTTCCTGCTACCAAAGCCTGGCAGAGACACAACAAAAAAAGAAAATTTTAGACCAATATCCCTGATGAACATCGATTCAAAAATCCTCAATAAAATACAGGCAAACCAAATCCATCAGCACATCAAAAAGCTTATCCACCATGATCAAGTGGGCTTCATCCCTGGGATGCAAGGCTGGTTCAACATACACCAATCAATAAACGTAATCCAGCATATAAACAGAACCAAAGACAAAAACCACATGATTATCTCAGTAGATGCAGAAAAGGCCTTTGACAAAATTCAACAGCCCCTCATGCTAAAAATTCTCGATAAATTCAGTGTTGAAGAGATGTATCTCAAAATAGTAAGAGCTATTTATGACAAATCCACAGCCAATATCATACTGAATGGGCAAAAACTGGAAGCATTCCCTTTGAAAACTGGCACAAGACAGGGATGCCCTCTCTCACCCTCCTATTCAACATAGTGTTGGAAGTTCTGGCCAGGGCAATCAGGCAGGAGAAACAAATGAAGGGTATTCAATTAGGAAAAGAGGAAGTCAAATTGTCCCTGTTTGCAGATGACATGATAGTATATTTAGAAAACCCCATTGTCTCAGCCCAAAATATCCTTAAGCTGATAAGTAACTTCAGCAGTCTCAGGATACAAAATCAATGTGCAAAAATCACAAGTATTCCTCTACACCAATAGCAAACAAACAGAGAGCCAATTCATGAGTGAACTCCCATTCATAATTGCTTCAAAGAGAATAAAATAACAAGGAATCCAACTTACAAGGGATGGGAAGGACCTCTTCAAGGAGAACTACAAACCACTGCTCAACGAAATAAAAGAGGACACAAAAAAATTGAAGAACATTCCATGCTCATGGATAGGAAGAATCAGTATCATGAAAATGGCCATACTGCCAAGGTAATTTATAGATTCAATGCCATCCCCATCAAGCTACCAATGACTTTCTTCACAGAATTGGAAAAAACTACTTTAAACTTCATATGGAACCAAAAAAGAGCCCGCATTGCCAAGACAATCCTAAGCCAAAAGAACAAAGCTGGAGGCATCACACTACCTGACTTCAAAATATACTACAAGGCTACAATAACCAAAACACCATGGTACTGGTACCAAAACAGAGATATAGACCAATGGAACAGAACAGAGCCCTCAGAAATAATACCACACATCTACAACCATCTGATCTTTAACAAACCTGACAAAAACAAGCAATGGGGAAAGGATTTCTTATTTAATAAATGGTACTGGGAAAACTGGCTAGCCATATGTAGAAAGCTGAAACTGGATCCCTTCCTTACACCTTATACAAAAATTAATTCAAGATGGATTAAAGACTTACATGTTAGACCTAAAACCATAAAAACCCTAGAAGAAAACCTAGGCAATACCATTCAGGACATAGGCATGGGCAAGGACTTCATGTCTGAAACACCAAAAGCAATGGCCACAAAAGCCGAAATTGACAAATGGGATCTAATTAAACTAAAGAGCTTCTGCACAGCAAAAGAAACTACCATCAGAATGAACAGGCAACCTACAGAATGGGAGAAAATTTTTGCAATCTACCCATCTGACAAAGGGCTAATATCCAGAATCTACAAAGAACTTAAAAAAATTTACAGAAAAAAAATCAAACAACCCCATCAAAAAGTGGGCGAAGGATATGAACAGACACTTCTCAAAAGAAGACATTTATGCAGCCAACACACAAATGAAAAAATGCTCATTATCACTGGCCATCAGAGAAATTCAAATCAAAACCAGAATGAGATACCATCTCACACCAGTTAGAATGGCAATCATTAAAAAGTCAGGAAACAACAGGTGCTGGAGAGGATGTGGAGAAATAGGAAGACTTTTACACTGTTGGTGGGACTGTAAAGTAGTTCAACCATTGTGGAAGACAGTGTGGAGATTCCTCAAGGATCTAGAACTAGAAATACCATTTGACCCAGACATCCCATTACTGGGTATATACCCATAGGATTATAAATCATGCTGCTATAAAGACACATGCACACGTATGTTTACTGTAGCACTATTCACAATATCAAAGACTTGGAACAAACCCAAATGTCCATCAATGATAAACTCGATTAAGAAAATGTGGCACATATACACCATGGAATACTATGCAGCCATAAAAAAGTATGAGTTCATGTCCTTTGTAGGGACATGGATGAAGCTGGAAACCATCATTCTCAGCAAACTATCGTAAGGACAGAAAACCAAACATCACATGTTCTCACTCATAGGTGGGAATTGAACAATGAGAACACTTGGACACATGATGGGGAATGTCACACACTGGGGCCTGTCATGGGGTTGGGGGAGGGGGGAGGCATGACATTAGGAGATATACCTACTGTAAATGACGAGTTAATGGGTGCAGCACACCAACGTGGCAGATGTATACATATGTACCAAACTGCACATTGTGCTCATGTACCCTAGAACTTAAAGTATAATTTAAAAAAAAATAAAATGCTATATTCAAAAGCTTTTTGAGACTTCTACTTCTGGAAAGATAGAACTGATGTATATTTCTCTGTTTCTTTTACTAAATACAGCTAAAACCGTGTGCATTATATGTAAAACAAATTTAATAAGACTTTGAAAGCTATAGGAGACCTTGGGACCTAAAGAACAATTCAGTGGTAAGGTTTCTGAGTTTTCTTTTTGCCCTGTATATCCCAGCCAAAGTAAAGATTGGAGAAGCTGGCAATCTGAAAATACCAATGAACACACAAAAACAAAGCTCTAAAAAATTTTACTCTCTCTAGCCCAAGGACTAAGAATGGGCCTGCCTAGCAAGTCAGAAAGCTTTCCAATAATATTTATTTATTTCCATCCAAATACCACAGATAAAGCTGTGGCTCTTCATACTTCCACCCTTCCCGGCAAATGATGAGTGAAGATCCTGGAGCCTTCTACTCTCAAGGCTTCTAAGAGGCCATTTCTGTAATGTCAATAAATGCCCAATTTGGAGTAGGATTTTCATGCTACTTTGTTACTCTGTACAAAGACCTCCTTCACTTTACATCATTGGAGACCAGGTGGGTACATGGCATTGCCATCTTCACCAATGATAACAAAATGCACCTTCTACTCCTTAGTGGGATGGTGTCAGAGTAGCTAGTGGAGATTCCGTATCTTCAACACTATTCATCACCCCTCTGTGGTGTCATTGGAGGCCACATGGAAGCAAGAAAAAGGAGCACTTCTCACTCACAGCAAGAATAATATCAGTGGAAACCTAATAGGGCAAACCTAAATTCTGAATCCCACCCAGCATTAATAAGAAGCCCCTCTAGGTCAATGGAGATCAAGTAGAGGCCAAATGCAGAACTTGGGTCAATGGAGGCCAAATGGAAAACCTGGACTTGAACTTTCACCTGCGAATAAGGAAAGAACAACCCCCTCCTAAAAATAGAGTAGTGTTAGGAAAGATCTTTTAAAACACAAGATTGCAATAATATCTAGAGCATCATAAAATAATTCACACAAAATTTCAGGTTACACTCTAAAATCACTCATCATATTAAGAAAAAAGACCTCACCTTGAATGGGGAAGACAATCAATAACTCCCAACAATAAGGTGACACATATATTAGAATTATCTGACAATGATTTTAAAGCAGCCATTATAAAAATGCTTCAATGAGCAATTATAAATGTGCTTGCAACAAATGGAAAGACAATAAATCACATCAAAGAAGCAGAGTATCAGCAGAGAAAAAAATATGTTAAAAGGAACCAAACAGAAATTTTAGAAGTGAAAAATATAATTACTGGAAGAAGAAAAAGAAGAAAATCTTCATTGTGTGGGCTCAACACAAACGTAAAGAACAAAGGCAAAAATTAACAAATGTGAAGATACAATAAGATTATATACACAACAGAGAAAAATTAGAAAAATGAGAAGAAACTCAATCACTGTGTTACTAGGAAAAAAAACACTATATCTGTGTGTCAACATAGTTCATGGAGTTTACTATGAAGTAAAAGGTAATTACTTACAACTTTTTTTGGAAATTTGACAGAGAAGCATAAAACCACAGATTCAAGAAGCTGAATGAATTCCAAGCCGAATAAACTCAAATACAGTCAAGCGTAAAGATGTTTTTGTCAACAACGAACCACGTATACAATCATGACCTCGTAAGATTAAAAAATCAATTTTTGCTCTCCCTTTTCTATGTTTACATACACAAATACTTACCATTGTGTTACAGTTGCCTACAGCATTTAGTACAATAACATGTTGTACAAGTTTGTAGCTGAGGAGCAATGGACTATACCACATACCCCAGATGTGTGGTAGGCTATACCGTCTAGGTTTGTGTTAGTACACTCCATGGTGTTGATACAATCATGAAATCACCTAATGACACATTTCTCAGAATATGCCCCCATTGGTAAATAATGCAGGACTATAAGCCCAAATCAAAAGACATCAGAGTCAAACTTCTGGAAACTAATGACAAAGACAAATCCTGAAATTAGTGAGAGAAATTATACCTTTCACGTAGGGGAAAAAAACAATTTAAGTAACAGTGAAATTTTTATTTGAGACCTTTGGGGACAGAATAAAGTAGCATGTGTTTCAAGTGCTCAAAGAAAATTTATCAAAATGAATAGATCCAGGAAATTAGTTTTAAGTTAAGCATGCACTTGCAATATGGCCCAGTAATTGCACTGTTAGGCCTTTAGGCCAGAGAAATATGACTCTTGTCCACACAAAGACCTTTACACAATAGTTTTATTGCTCATAGAAGCTTTACATATTATAGACTAAAACTGGAAACAACCAAAATTTCTCTTAATAGGTGAATGGTTAAACAAACTGTGGTGCATTTATACCATGGAATACTACTCAGCAATAAAAAGTAATGAGCTACTGACATACAAAAATTTGGATGATCTCAAGGCTATTATGTTGAGTAAAAAAGTCAATCTCAAAAAATCACAGATAATAGTATTCCACTTATATAACATTCTTAACATGACAAAATTATAGGGATAGAAAATAGATTAATAGTTGCAAAGGATAGGGAAGCTGAGGGCTTTTGAGTTTTATGTAATGATTCCTTTATTGAAACTGAAAGTTAAATATTTTATAATACTTTATGTATTTTTTTTCCATTTTATCATTAGAAATGTACTTTGAAAACAGGTAAAAGTGCTGATTACCCTGGTGAATTGATGGTAGAACTATAGGACATTTTTAAGAATGAGATTTTGAAGAGAGCTTTAACCAAAAGGCACTTAGTACTTGAGTCCACATTAGCTTTAGTTAATTATATTAAATATATTTAATGAATAATATTAATAGTATTGAACAATTAAACCAATTGTGCATATTATAGGTTTTCTAACAAATTTGTGGAGACACAATATGTTAAAAATAGGATTAACCTTCAGTTAATTTAATTTATTTTATTTTATTTATTTATTTTGAGACAAGAGTCTTGCTCTGTCACCCAGGCTGGAGTGCAGTGGTGAGATCTTGACTCACTCTAACCTCCACCTCCTGGGTTCAAGCGATTCTCCTGCCTCAGCCTCCCGAGTAGCTGGGATTACAGGCACCTGCCACTGTGCCAGGCTAATTTTTGTCTTTTTAATAGAGACGGGGTTTCACTATCTCAGCCAGGCTGGTCTTGAACTCCTGACCTCGTGATCCACCCTCCTCGACCTCCCAAAGTGCTGGGATTACAGGTGTGAGTCATTGCTCCCAGCAACCTTCAGTTAATTTATTAATTGCATCTTCCTGTCACTCCTCATTGTTTTAGGCACTGAGGTCAGAGAGGTGACTAAAACATAAATTATTTTCCTTTCAGTCATATCACACAGGAAGAGTAGAACAGAAAATCAGAAAATGTATAATCAGTCGGATGAACAGTAGAAAGTGAAAAAGGTTGCTTTCAAAATACCAAGTAAAAACATCTTGCTTTTTGGATCACTCACTTCCTTTGGCCTCTGAGAAATTGTTTGTGCCTTGTTTTCCACTGACCTCTTTTAGACTCCTTTTCAGAATATCTATGACACTTTATTTCACAGCATTCAGTCCAAGGTTCTCTTCTTTTCTCCTTCCATAAAATCCTCCCTGGAAATCAACTACAGGCTTTGATCATAAGCTATATGTTGATAACTCTCAAATATATGTTATAACTTTAACAACTTATTATGGAGTGGTTAACTTCAACAGCTTCTATTTCTGCTTGCATTACCTGGAAGCATTGCAAACTTAATACAATTAAATCACATTCCTCATTTTCACGTCCTCTCTCCCACAGCCCCAATATGCTCCTTTTCTTTGGTGTTTCCCCTTCTGTGAATAACATCACAATCCACCCGAGTGTCTATGCCAGCAACCCTGAAACCATCCTAAGTACTTATCTTTTTTTAAAACAGTTATATGCTTGTACTTACATCACTACTTCTTGATTTTCATTATTTAGCTTTAGCTATGAAATTAACACTAGGATATGAAAATGTACTACTGTATTTTTACTATTATTTGAGATGGAATTTTGCTCTTTTTGCCCAGGCTGGAGTGCAATGGTGCAATCTTGGCTCCCCACAACCTCCGCCTCCCAGGTTCAAGTGATTCTCCTACCTCAGCCTCCCAAGTAGCTGGGATTACAGGCATATGCCACCACATCCAGCTGATTTTGTATTTTTAGTAGAGATGGGATTTCACCATGTTGTCCAGGCTGGTCTCGATCTCCTGACCTCCTGTGATCCACCCGCGCTGGCCTCCCTAAATGCTGAGATTACAGGTGTGAGCCAGCGCTCCCAGTCAGTACCACTGTATTCTATCATCCTTTCAAAATAATCATGTTTTCCATCCTATCGAATTCCTGACTTTATTATATTGTCATTTAAAAGATTAATGTCAGATAGTTATATTTTTAGGACTTTGTAAATGCTATTTATAGGTGATTTATATAGATTATTTTCACTGGAAGTAAACCTACTTATTTTTTCTCACTTTTCTGTAAAATCATTACTACTCTGATTGAAAACTTGGCATGAATTGTTTAAATTTCTCCATATGCTCAGGTTATTAAGATATTCAAGGAATTCTACATTTCGTATTGAGTGACTCATTTAAATCTGGATATTCTAATTTTTAATTTTGGGAAATTTTCTTGAATTATTTTATAGTTTATAGCACTCAGCTTCTGGTTTTGCTTTTTGCAAGGAATATTATTCAGGTATATCTTCTGGCGTAGACTTTGAATTTTATTTCCTTTAACTTCTGTGTTTTGTTTGCGCTATTTTATAGGACATTTCCTCAACTATTAAACTTTATAGTTTTTGTTGTTGTCTTATTTTCTTTTTCCTATGATTTTTTAAAAAAAACTTTTTTAGAGCAGTTGTAGGTTCAAAGCAAAATTGGAGGACGCTACAGAGATTTCCCATATACTCCTTCCCTCTACACCAGAGTAGCACCCCCCGCCGTTATCAACATCTCTGCCAATGTTGTATTTGTTACAATTGATGAAACTATAATTGGCACATCCTTACCACCCAGACTCTATAGTTTACATTAGTGTTCACTCTTCCTGCATATTCTGTGGGTTTGGACAATGCAAAATGACATGTATTGAACATTATAGTATCATACAGAGAATTTCCAGTGCCCTAAAAATTCTGTATATTCTATTTATCCCACTCACATCCTCCCCCTGGCAACCACTAATCCTAATATTTTTACTGTCTCTATAGTTTTGCATTGTTCAGAGTGTCATATCGTTGGACTCATACAATATTTAGCCTTTTCAGATTGACTTTTTATACTTAGTAATACGCATTTGAGGTTTCTTCATGTCTTTTCATGACTTGGTTGCTCATTTCTTTTTAGCACTGAATAATATTTCATAGTCTGCATGTACCACAGTTTGTTTATTCACTCACCTACTGAAAGACATCTTGGTGGCTTCCAAGTTTGGTAATTATGAACAAAGCCACTATGAATAGCAGTGTGCAGGATCTTAGGTGGATATGCTTTTAACTCCTTTGGGTAAATACCAAGGAACACGATTACTGGAAAACATGATAGGGATACATTCTGTGTTCTAATAAACCACAAAATGGTCTTCCAAAATTTCTGTATAATTTTTTATTTAATAAATAATAAAATAACTGGCAATAAATTAGAGTTCCTATTGCTCCAAATCCTTTCCATTATTTGGTATTGTCAGCGTTCTGTATTTTGGCTATTGTAATAGGTGTGTGGTGGTATCTCATTTTTTAAAAATTTGCATTTCCCTGGTTACATATGAGGAAGTGGAACATGTATCTTTTCATATGCTTCATCACAGTTTTAAAAATACTTTAATATTCTAAAGCAATTTTGTTCTTTGAATAATTCACCTTTATAATACTCAGTTTTGTTCCATCTGTAGCATTTTTCTTTCAAATAATATTAATGATAGTTTTGAATTTTTTCTTCTTCCCACAAAAATGTGTCTTTCCTACACATGACAGTATCTCTATATCTTTCCTGACAGACACTTTGCACAAGTGTCTGATGATTCTTTGCTTTCTGCTTATTTGTCAGAGTTCATCATTAATCATCTCATTGGAAACTATGAGTAAGATTATTTCTCATACACTTCAATGAGGATGGACTGGCTCCATTGTTTCACTGTGCATCCATTATCAGATGCATTAGAGCTGTCTCCTTTCAGATGACTAAATTTCTGTCTGCCAGGATGTAGGAGCCAAGTAGGGAAAGAATGTTGAAGGTTTTAACATTTAATATATGCCAGTTCACATAGTCTACCTATGTTTCATACATTTTTCCTGCCATCCACTGAACTCAGTGTTCTACAGTTCAGCAATCCCCTGTTTTAATTCCCGTGGTGATCTCCTCTTCTAAAGTTGCACTGAATGAAGGAAGTGATCTGAAACTTGCTAATAAATAAATATTTTATATATTTTCCCTAGTTTTATTTTTTTACTTCCAATTCACACCCACTAGCAGAACTATCTGAAAAAATGAGGTATCTTCAAAAGGGTCATGGAAAGTGTGTATTATTTTTAAAAAAACTGTGTATGCATTTTTACATTTTGTGCCAAAATAATGTATACTTACCTATTATAACATATCTAAACAGAATCTTAGGTATGTTCTGTGGCTTAGTTTGAGCCACTAAGAAGGATAAGACATCAGTTTGAAAAAGAGCTCCTATCAGAGAAACATGAATTCTGCTAAAATTGAAGCATGGACAAACATGAAATTCATGGTGAAGCTTGGGTGAGAGGATGGTAAAATTATTTCTTTATGATAAGTTTATGGGCACAATTCCCCAAATAAATCAACAGTTTACAAATGATTACCTCATTTTAAGATGGAATGAGAAAAAGCTGAAGATGAATTCCTCAATGGCAGACCATTCACATCAATTTGTGAGAAAAGCATTGTCTTATCCATGCCATAATTGAAGAGGGCCTACAATTAACAGAAAAAATAATAGCCGATACCATAGACATCTGAACTGGTTCAGCTTACACAATTGGGACTGAAAATTTGAGCAAACTTTCCACTCAATGGGTGCCAAAATCATTGTACCCACATCAGCTGCAGATGAGAGCAGAGCTTTCAATATAAATTTTAAACCAGTAGAATCAAGAACTTGAAGCATTTCTTCAAAGAATTGTAACGGGAGAGGAAACCTGGCTTTACCAGTATAATCCTGAAGACAAGGCACAATCAAAGCAGTGGCTACCAAGAGATAGAAGTGGCCCAGTGAAAAACAAAAGGGAACTGATCAAGAGCAAAGGTAATGGCAACAGTCTTTTGAAATGCTCAATACATTTTGCTTGTTGAGTTTCTGGAATGCCAAAGGAAAATAACAATTGCTTATTATGATAGTGTTTAGAGATATTTAGCTAAAGCATTAGCAGAAAAATGCATAGGAAAGCTTCATTAGAGAGTCCTCCACCATGACAATGGACAGTGCTCCTTCTCATTTGGCTCATCAAGCAAGGGCAATTTTGTGAGAGTTTTGATGGAAAATCATTAGATATCCACCTTACAATGCAATTATCTCTTTCTGATTTCTGTTTGTTTTCTAGTCCTAAAAAATCTGTAAAGGGTTTCATTTTTTTCTTCAATTAATAATTTAAAAAAGACTACATTGACATTATTAAATTCCTAGGACCCTTAGGTCCATATGGATGCACTAAATGGCTGGTGTCATTGCTCACAGTATTGTCTTGAGCTTGATGACTCTTATGTTGAGAAATAAAGTTTATCTCTCTTTTAAAGTTTTATCTTTTAATTCCATTTTATCCATGAACTTTTTGAAGTCTCCTCATATCTAAGCTTTTGTAGGAGAGAATTCATTTGGTACATGTGCTTTTTTTTCCTTTCACTTTCAACTACATTGGCTATAGATTTTGAATGAATGACTGTTTACCCTTGGCCATTCAATTTCTAAAATTTGCTATGGTCTTTTCTGATATTCTCTTTTTGCCTTCTACTTGTTCTTCTAATTTGCTGTATTTTACTGAAGTTTGGGAGATAGTGAAATGAAATATATGTGTTCAACCTGTGATTTTATGTCTGTAATCTCATTTAGACTTCATAATCATCAGAAGAAATAGATAACTTTTTCATTCTCCTTCAACAAGGGAAATGAAAAGGAGACACAGAGAAATCATTAATTTTCTGAAGGTCACAAAGCTGGGAGTGGTTAATTCAAGATACAATAAGAAATTACTTTTACATTTGGGGAACTTAGTATTTATCAAAGGAAAGGAAAATAACTTTACTTCTAATCATAGAAAGCATCAGTTCTTTATCAAGACACTCTTTCCAACAAAGAA
Organism: Homo sapiens; assembly: GCF_000001405.40. Lineage (NCBI taxonomy): Eukaryota > Metazoa > Chordata > Mammalia > Primates > Hominidae > Homo > Homo sapiens. Next base: position 193,822,509 of record NC_000002.12, on the reverse strand, counting down.
ATCTCGATTGGTTATTCCAGCAACTACTGATGACAGGGGTTAACATTCAGGATGAAATCTATTTGCCATCTGTGATGGCAGCTTAGAATTCAAAGAGAAAAATTAATGGTTTATATTTATTGGACAGTCTATCGTGCCAGCTTATTTGTATATAATTTCAATTTTTCTTTTTTTTTATTATACTTTAAGTTTTAGGGTACATGTGCACATTGTGCAGGTTAGTTACATATGTATACATGTGCCATGCTGGTGCGCTGCACCCACTAATTCGTCATCTAGCATTAGGTATATCTCCCGATGCTATCCCTCCCCCCTCCCCCCCCAACAGTCCTCAGAGTGTGATATTCCCCTTCCTGTGTCCATGTGATCTCATTGTTCAATTCCCACCTATGAGTGAGAATATGCGGTGTTTGGTTTTTTGTTCTTGTGATAGTTTACTGAGAATGATGATTTCCAATTTCATCCATGTCCCTACAAAGGACATGAACTCATCATTTTTTATGGCTGCATAGTATTCCATGGTGTATATGTGCCACATTTTCTTAATCCAGTCTATCATTGTTGGACATTTGAGTTGGTTCCAAGTCTTTGCTATTGTGAATAATGCCGCAATAAACATACATGTGCATGTGTCTTTATAGCAGCATGATTTATAGTCCTTTGGGTATATACCCAGTAATGGGATGGCTGGGTCAAATGGTATTTCCAGTTCTAGATCCCTGAGGAATCGCCACACTGACTTCCACAATGGTTGAACTACTTTACAGTCCCACCAACAGTGTAAAAGTCTTCCTATTTCTGCACATCCTCTCCAGCACCTGTTGTTTCCTGACTTTTTAATGATTGCCATTCTAACTGGTGTGAGATGGTATCTCATTGTGGTTTTGATTTGCATTTCTCTGATGGCTAGTGATGATGAGCATTTTTTCATGTGTTTTTTGGCTGCATAAATGTCTTCTTTTGATAAGTGTCTGTTCATGTCCTTCGGCCACTTTTTGATGGGGTTGTTTGTTTTTTTCTTGTAAATTTGTTTGAGTTCATTGTAGATTCTGGATATTAGCCCTTTGTCAGATGAGTAGGTTGCGAAAATTTTCTCCCATTTTGTAGGTTGCCTATTCACTCTGATGGTAGTTTCTTTTGCTGTGCAGAAGCTCTTTAGTTTAATTAGATCCCATTTGTCAATTTTGGCTTTTGTTGCCATTGCTTTTGGTGTTTTAGACATGAAGTCCTTGCCTATGCCTATGTCCTGAATGGTAATGCCTAGGTTTTCTTCTAGGGTTTTTATGGTTTTAGGTCTAACATTTAAGTCTTTAATCCACCTTGAATTGATTTTTGTATAAGGTGTAAGGAAGGGATCCAGTTTCAGCTTTCTACATATGGCTAGCCAGTTTTCCCAGCACCATTTATTAAATAGGGAATCCTTTCCCCATTGCTTGTTTTTCTCAGGTTTGTCAAAGATCAGATAGTTGTAGATATGCGGCGTTATTTCTGAGGGCTCTGTTCCATTGATCTATATCTCTGTTTTGGTACCAGTACCATGCTGTTTTGGTTACTGTAGCCTTGTAGTATAGTTTGAAGTCAGGTAGTGTGATGCCTCCAGCTTTGTTCTTTTGGCTTAGGATTGACTTGGCGATGCAGGCTCTTTTTTGGTTCCATATGGAGTTTAAAGTAGTTTTTTCCAATTCTGTGAAGAAAGTCATTGGTAGCTTGATGGGGATGGCATTGAATCTGTAAATTACCTTGGGCAGTATGGCCATTTTCACGATATTGATTCTTCCTACCCATAAGCATGAAATGTTCTTCCATTTGTTTGTATCCTATTTTATTTCCTTGAGCAGTGGTTTGTAGTTTTCCTTGAAGAGGTCCTTCACATCCCTTGTAAGTTGTATTCCTAGGTATTTTATTCTCTTTGAAGCAATTGTGAATGGGAGTTCACTCATGATTTGGCTCTCTGTTTGTCTGTTGTTGGTGTATAAGAATGCTTGTGATTTTTGTACATTGATTTAACAATTCTGCAATATACATTTTTTTACTCAATGCATGCATAAGGAAACTTAGGAAAGGTTAAGTAACTAATGATTAGTTTGATTCATCAAAATATACAGTTTGTGATATAATATAGCAGTTAATTGTTAGGTTCCAGAGTCAAATGTAACTGTGTCTGAATCTTAGATGTCAACTACAATTGAACTGGCTTAAGTTCCTTATTGTCCTTGTGCATTCGTGTCCTCAAATATAAAATAAGTGTTTTTGAATTGAGTATTGATGGCATGGCAGCAGTCATCTGGAGGGCATGGCCAGGGCTGTGCACTCTATGGAGCCTGCAGGTGCTTGGAACAGGCTCAAGCCTCACCCTTTTCTGAGTCAATGGGGCAGGAGCCCTGCACTCCTGGTGCCACTGCAGCCACCCAGACACTGCTGCAGACCTGGGTATCTCTGCATTTTCAGGGGTCTGGGAAGTCCCCTGTCCCTGCAGGCTCAGAAGTGCCTGCTCCCACTGCCTGGACTCTCCCTGCATGCAGCTTCTGCTCCAATTTCAGAGCAAAGTTGGAGTCGAGCCCAGGTGCTGTTGCAACACAACCAGGTGTGAGCATGTTTGGGCAGTGCTGACATGCCAAGACCCTGCCACCTTGGCCTCCTCTGGACTTTGGGCACCTAGCATGGGAGAGAGCCTGAGATGGGGCTGAAGGTGGCTCACTGTGGGCCTGCAGATGCCTCTTGGCAAGAATAGCCCAGTTGTCATGTATGACATGACTGATGGTGACAGGAGATAGGCTCCTGAGCAGAAAGGGGTGGGTCACCAGTGAAGCCCCACCTTTAAGCGAGGGATGACTTGAAGCCTGGGGTCTGTACTGTCTGTTCCGGGGGAAGTCTGCAGCCTGGAATCATAACTTATGGTGCTTTTTCTGGACCTGCTCATAGCTGCCTATGGACTAATCAGCATGCGCTTCCTCCCTTTTGAGCCCATAAAAACCCCAAACCCAGCCAGACTCACACAGATCAGGACTACCAGTAGCAGGATGGAGGTACTCACTTCTAGTCTCCTCTCCTCTGAGAGCTGGACACTCTTTGGGATGAGATGCCTGCAGAAAGGAGCTACCTACTGTGGGTCTCCTGAGAACTGCTCTGCTGCCCAGTGAAGCTCCTCTCTGCCTTGTTCACCCTGCAGTTGTCCACATACGTCATTCTTCCTGGACACGGGACAAGAACTTGGGACCTGCCAAATGGCAGGACTGAAAGAGCTGTAACATGAGCAGGGTTGAAACATGAACCCACCCCTGCTTGCCACACTCTGGGCAATGAGAAGGAGAGAAGAGCTGTGCCCCTCTGGGAGCCCAGACCTAAGGGTTCCCCAAGCCAGGGTGGTGGCACCCTCTTTGGGGCTCTGGAGTTCCTGGTGTCTCCAAGCTTCCATGTTCTCCTCGTTCAGACGTGGGTGCCTGTAGCAGAAGCCACGTGTGGTACATCTAGTCCAGCTGCAGTCTCACATGAAGCCAGCACCTGTGCTGGCACCTGGAGCTGACCACCCTGCCACAGCAGCTTCAGTGTCTGGCTGTGCACAGTAGCCAGACCCCACAATCACTTGCCCACACACCCCTCACCACTCCATGTCTGGCTCACCCTTGGCTAGTGTGGGATCTGGGCTGGTAGTATGAGCTGAGTGCAGCCTGCCAGGCTTAGTGGGCAGAACAAGCCCAGCAGGTGTGAGCAATACACAGGCAGAAGGTGCCACTGGCCACTGAGGATTGTGGCTGGTGAAGCAACACCCCAGGGATCCTGTGCCAGTATGAAAATAACAACTATTAAAAAATAAAAACTAATTAAGTCACTATATATGATTTAACTATATTAATCACAAATATATTACAGGACCCTGGAATAGTGTCTGACAATTGTAGTATGTGTTCATGCACATGTGTGTGTGTCATGAATGCATATGATATATTATTTTAACACATATATTTAAATGATTGCTGTAGCCCACAGAGAAATGTGTCTCCCTTCTGTTATACAAGCACTGAGAAGTGGTAATTTCAAAAACTGTTAGATTCTCAGAATAAGCATTTATGAATCTGAAATACCATCCTTTAAATGTTGTACCACATCCAAAGCTTCAGTCATTCTGAAAATAGTGATCAGTGAGTGAGGAAAGCATTAGCTTTATTGCTAGCCACATATTACAGTCAGACAAGTGGCAAAGAACCTGCCACCAGAGCTTTCCAGCCTGTCCCTCTCACACTTGAGGCTTATGAAAATTAAAGGAAGCACAAATGTTTCAGTAAAAATAGAGTACTCATACTCTATTTAAAGATACATTTAGCAACATTTTGCCAATAACTTTTTTCCAGTAATTGTAATGAAAATGTAAAATAAAGATGCTTGAACCTTGCCATACATCTATGTATTTAAATTTATTACATCAATCTTGTCACTTAGGCTTTCACAAGATATTTGTTACAAACTATATGTATTGTGTGTGTATTTATATGTATGTATGCATATATGTGTGTGTATATATATACACACACACACATATATATACATATATATTTGTATATATACTTTCTCCCTTTAGAATGACATCAAGCAAGCATTTATTTGGAAATTTTGTGTCACTACTTTTCATTACCTTTGTGAATCATGCAGAAAATTATAGATTTGGTCAATCCTATCTCTACTAGTGCATAATTCTTTTAAAGAGGGAATATTAATAGTGTGAGAGAAAACAATCGTAGAGGAAAAACATTAGAGAAGATAGAGTCTTAAACAGAACCTATTTTTTTTCTCTTCTAGAGACACATAAAATTATACTTTTCTTCAAGGGAGTAGTGCAGAATAGAATGAATTCATGGATATCTGAAGACATTTGAGCATAACAATTGTAAAGAAAAAGAATGTTAGTGCTGGATATCTTTCTAGAGAGCATGAAGCCTGGAGCATAACAATTGTAAAGAAAAAGAATGTTAGTGCTGGATATCTTTCTAGAAAGCATGAAGATCTAGACAGAGCATTCTTCCATAAGCATAGAAACAATGCAATCAGCCTGAGAAGCAGAAATGGGCAAAGTGGATTAGGGACACAGAGCTAAAACAGATAAAGAAGAGTTATTGACTATTCTCGGGACTTTTTAGCTTCTTCTGGGTATAAATGTTACAATTTTTCTGAAGACAAGAGAGTGGTAATTGAGGAAAGACAGCAAAAGTGTATGGTATTCTGACTCCCTTACACAAGTGATTACATATTACAATTTCTATTGTATATTACAATTGTATAGTTGAAGAAACTGAGGATAATATCTACCCTGACATTAGGCGGTAAACCATGATTTTAATCAAGTTCCTCTTGTCTCCAAAATCCCTGTAATTTGCAAGCTCTGGTCTGCTTTTCCTTTTCACAAGTGTTTAATAACCCAGAGTAATTTTTGGATCACATGGAAAGGGAAATGTTAGATTCTCAATATTATATCTTAATTCCAAGTTTCAGAAAAGCTAATATGAAATTTTTTTTTCTGAAAATAATATATCTTCATTTTATATTATAACAATATATATTTCATTTTATGTAAATAAAAATGAATGACCTAATCCATAAAATTAAATAATACATGTGTATATTGGTGTATCGTGTGTGTGTAAATATATATATATATATGTTAATATATAGACATACATATAGATGTATATATTGGGGGATGTGTGTACATGTATGTGTGTAAATATTTTTAAAATATTTCTGGAAATAAGAACAGAACACAACCTTCGGTGAGAGACACTGCACTCTTGAATGATACTATGTATTTTTTTTAATAACAGGAATCAAGTTGTGAAAAATAATTTAATCATTGTTTATGCTAACTTTTATAAAGCTACAGCCTACTCCAATTTGTAGATTATTTTCAGCAAGTAATAGTTGTAACCTCTTTAAAAGCCAAAATTGAAATAATATTTTAAAGATTTGTTGAAGATAACTTTACAAGCTGGGTGCCATCAACCAACACTATTCCAAGACCTTGACGTAGTGTTAGGAGATTAAATAAATGTTTTGTAAAATACTCACGGACAGCCACTAGGTTGTTATTTAATCACCTATGATGAAACTTTTACTTTTAGAAAATTTGTGTACCATTCACAGCATGAATTTTTCTGGAAAACATTTCTGAGAAAAATGTGTTTCAGTTACTGGTAAGTTTACAGCAACTGGCATTTGCTTGAGGGGAAGATAATGTTTTCTAGGCAAGAGAGAAGACTCTAGGTGAAGGATACTACAGTGCAAAGGTGCTAAAATGATGTTTACTGTGAGGTCCTGTGACCACTCTGTCCACATGATCTCTGAAATTGCACATCAAAGCTTCCTTCTATCTCAGGGGCATTGCATATAGACTCTTTCCCTTTCAGTCTTATTTATTTCCATCAGATCCATACTTTTAAAATTTATTTCCTTTAAGATATCTCTTACCCTTTTATTTGCTTCTTGTTGTTTTACATTACCTATTTCCAGTAAAAGAAAAAGAAAAGAAGAAAATAATTTTCTCCCTCTTTATAACACAATGGCTAAAAATACATGCCACCAGATCAAATTTACAAAGAAAGCCCATGGGGCACATGAAGGTCTGTGCTCTAAAGCTGATTGTATAGACAACGAATTACATAAGTACTTTCATGATCTACTTTTATTTGAATTTTTAAAAAGAGTTCTTGGAGAGAAGAAGATCTATAGCATAATAAAGAGATCATAGATTATGTTTTTATGTAAACTTTTTACTTTTAAAAATGGTTAAAGATTACATGAGAAATGACTAATTTTTTACACACAGTAATGTGTGTTACAGAATCATATCGTACTTGAAACTCAATTTATACATATTGATTATTTGGCCATAACTCTAATTTAAGCATCTGATGAGTGTAGGTTTTGATTATATTACTAAATTACCTCTGCTTCCAGAACAAGGACTTTTCCAGTTGTCCCCTTTAGTCTCCCCAGCAATAGAGACCGGCTCAATTTAATTAAAATTCACCTCCTATATGTTATGTGGATGTGCCCTAAGTCATACTTTTCTTTTAAATAACACTTTTCTCATTTTTCAGGATCTAATGGTCAAATAACTGTGTTTTCTTTCCCATCAGCACCTTGAGAATCTGAATTATTTCACTCATAATGACCTTCCCCTTTCTCAGTCTAAAGATGTATCAATTTACTAATAAAAACGTTCTCTTTGTGAAGGCTTGGGAATTCCTTACTGTGCTCATACAATATATTGGGGGCAAACATTCCTATTTGTCAGAATAAATCCTCTCTAAATGGTCTCCTGGCATGTTCATAAATGATAAACAATTAAAATATATTGAATGATTGGGATTAATTTTATGAGTCTCAAGGCATTCTAGAAGTGATAAACTTGCTCACCAGGCTAACTCATTTATCAGGATCTCAAATTCTTTATAAGCATTTAATATAAAATATGCACTGTAATTCAGAATATTTGTTATAATAAGTAGATACAGATTTCTTCTGAAATATGTACTTTCCAAACCTTTAAAACAGAATCATTAGCCTCATTTGCATTATGAGACTATTAATTAAAATTTTAATATTGATCTAAATGTATGGATTTACCTCTGCAATTAAATACACATTTTTTCTAACTAAAACTCACTAGCTGAGATCTGAGCTGATTATAATTATAAGCCAAGCTTTATTTCTGATACTTCAATGATAAACACTTAAATAGTTCTATTCAATGCAAATATTATCATATTTTGTGTATTTTCCGTAATATATACCTATAAAATTGCCATATCCTTTTTCCTCAAGCAAAAATTGTGGATAAATTTACAATTATGAATTCTAATGCTTCTCTTGCATTTATTGAATGGTAATATTATACAATAATTCATATTCTGTGACAATTTCAGTTACTTAACATTGAAAATACATAGGTACCATAAAATATATATTTCTCCTCTATAAAAATGTGCATCCGAGTGAGCATTCTTTCTTTGCCATTCAGCAGTTCTGTGATACATAATTCAGTCTCTATGTCCCATCAATTCCTATATAGATTTGCAATGACCAAATTTATGATATAAGTTTAATGGCTTCTAGAAGCTAGTTTGCCAATGCCATGGTTATAAGAATGGCTTCATGGGAATTTTATGCTCCCTGACCACCTACTAACATACTAGAAAATGCAGTCTTCACTAAGTTTGTTTCTTGACAAGCAGGGAGGAACAATATAGAGTAATTGAAGAACTTATTTGAAAATGCATTCCTTAATCTTCCGTAAAATGTTTCCATTGTATCGAAATTAATATGGACATTAGGAAAGACCTTTGAGATCTGCGTTAATTTATGTTGTTGCCAAGAAGTAGTTTATGAGTAGAAACAAAAAGACAAAACTGTTTTTCACTTGAATTTATAAAATGTACTTTTCTTTAATAATTTTATCTCAAAGTTCACATATTAGAGAGTATGGTGGGTCCAAGACTTGATTTATTTATTTATATGTGTGTGTGTGTGCACGTGCACACATGTGTATTTGGCAGATATACATTTAGAAGCTGAAGTTCTAAGGATACGGATCCAGTTTGTGATTTCCCCAATCTCCCATAAGGAACAGTCACTTCTGGACTGAGCATGTGAAGAGGAGTGATAACTAGAGAAACCTGGCTTGCTAATGTCCACAACATCATAACTTCATTTTCTAGCTTATTTATGCCATTCCTTTTGGAATCTCATTTCTTTCTCATTTGAATATTGTTATAATCCTAATCTTAGCTGTCAACGTGATGCTGTAAGTGTTCATAATTCATCAGTGTTAGAACAATAGCTTAAAGAAAACTTATTTTGACTTAAATTGGATATTCTGTACATTGCAAAGTTCTGTTTGATATGTATAGAAGTAGTGATGTTTGAGAGCCTCTAGCATTTATGTTTTTTTGTTTTCTTCCCATTTACATTTATCTCTCCTGTCACTGATAAAGCCCTCATTGATGACTATATCACACACATTCCTACAACAAGTTCTAGCTACTGAATTTTAGACTATTTACTCATATGCATTTATAACACGTATCCTTTAATCACTTCTACCATCATCATCGACTCACATTTACAACAAATTGCTACGAATTGCCATGCAATGATGCGCAAAGATTCATCATAGCAGGGAAGTAATTTTTATATTAATGATTATAGTTAATAAAATTGTCCAATTCAATATTCCCCAAATTAGTAAATGGATATTTAAAATTTCTTGATCTTAAATATTGGGTTAAACTACAATTCTTTTTTAATTTTTATAGATTTAGGGGGCACCTATTTAGATTTGTTAAGTGGATTTAATGTAGTAATGTAGTTTGGGCTTTCAGTATAACCATCACCCAAATAGGGTACTTTGTACCAAATAGGTAATTTCTCATCCCTCACCTAAACCTCAATCATTATTAGTTTGTAGAACTTTTCATTTTCCTAACTTTCCTTATATATGCACATTTGGAAAAAATATTTTGAATACAATTGACAAAAACAAGAAAACGAGTAGAAAAAGAAGATGTAAGATTCATATTAACATTTTTATTAATTAAGTTGATAGGATTTTATTAACAAATATCTAAATAGAAGTCCCTCATTGAGTACTTGTTATGGACTAGGAAGTATATGAAACACTTTATATATGTTATCTCAACATCATATCAACCCTATGAGTTAGTCATTGCAATCTTCATGTTATCAAAGCTTAAATTAAGACTCAGGCTAAATCATTTATCCAAAGTCATATGACTAGTAAGGAGGAAAGTTAGGGTTAAAAGCCAAAATGGCAGGCCCTTTCTGCCCATTTAATACACTTTCTCTTCCAATATACGTTACTGGTTTCACACATAAGATGCCAAGTCTTTGATGTTGAATGTCTTTCACAATAGTGGTTGTGGGAAGGATAATTAAACTGACATTTATTTCAGTGCTTTAAATAAATCAAGGTATATTTCTTTTTCTTTTCTTTTTTTTCTTTTTTGGGACGGAGTCTCGCTCTGTCGCCCGGGCTGGAGTGCAGTGGCGCGAACTCTGCTCACTGCAAGCTCCGCCTCCCGGGTTCACGCCATTCTCCTGCCTCAGCCTCCTGAGTAGCTGGGACTACAGGCACCCGCCGCCACACCCCGCTAATTTTTGTATTTTTAGTAGAGACGGGGTTTCACCATGTTAGCCAGGATGGTCTCGATCCCCTGACCTCGTGATCCGCCCGCCTCGGCCTCCCAAAGTGCTGGGATTACAGGCCTGAGCCACCACGTCCGGCTAAATCAAGGTGTATTTCTAATGTTGACTTCAAATAACTTTTATTCTGTAATTGGATGAAGAACTACTGCCTGAGCTTCTGGATACTATGTCCTCACTTACATAGATCTTGTGACTGATTCTTTTCTGATTTCTGCCCTCCAGATCTCTTGGAGAAGATTCCCTGACTCTAGCTTTACTTTAATCAGTAAATATATTTTCCTAGTATCTATTAGTCATTTCTCTTCATCCATATTACCCCCCGCCCGCCATCAATGTGATCCCTGTACCAGGTGCTGGTGAAGCAGTAGTGCGCCAGACTTTGAGTGTGGTCTCAGGTCCCCTGTTTTCTAATTAAATTAACCTAGTAACAAGAGTTTGATCAGGGAGAAAGATGTAGTAAAGTAGTAAAATGGTTGGAGGAAAAATAGGGTGAGTGTATAGTAGACAGAGTAACAGAAAGGGAGATGTTATCTATTGATGAGTAGTTTACATTACCATGGCATTTCTCCTAGGTACTATGTGCGTTTCCATAATTTTACCCCATTCCTTTTCTTACTACAGTTTCCTTAGTGTTAATACTTGCATTTTCAGTTTCCAAATTTCCATGAGACATTAATGAGTTATTGGGGTTTATTTAACATTTTATATATTACAAATGAATGCCTATATAATACTTATAGTAACTATATTTACCAAAGCAACTTTATTTACCAAGGTTTTTCTATATTCAACCGCTCCAGATGGACTATATATATATGTGTGTGTGTGTGTGTGTGTATATATGTATATATGTGTGTGTGTGTGTATATATATATATATATATTTTTTTTTTTTTTTTTTTTTTTTGAGACAGAGTCTTGCTCTGTCGCCCATGCTGGAGTGCAGTGGCGTGATCTCAGCTCACTGAAATCTTCACTTCCCCAGATTCAAGCAATTCTTCTGCCTCAGCTTCCCAAGTAGCTGGGATTACATGCGCCAAGATCATGCCTGGCTAATTTTTGTATTTTTAGTAGAGATGGGGTTTCACCATGTTGGCCAGGGTGGCCTTGAACTCCTGACTTCGTGATCCACCTGTCTAGGCCTCCCAAAGTGCTGGGATTACAGGCGTGAGTCACCGCGCCTGGCCCTTATAGGTATTTTTTAATTTGAAAAATCTTAAACACGGTCTCAGGAGGTGTTATACAGAAAGCTTTAAGTTTCCAGACCCTAAAAGTAAACACCCGTATATCCTACAAAGCAATGTGAGAAATGTACATATTCTGCGTGTCAATTCTCAAGCTGTCAAGTTCAGTCGGTTTTCAAAATATCGCATATGTTCTTTTCTAGTAAAAAATATACTGACATTAAAGTCTTGTCAGACTCTCCAGAAAGATAATAAGAAAAAATACAAGATAATTCAGTTCTTTGGAATAAAATGATAAATGAGTCATGCTGAAAAGTGGGCAGCTATATCACATAAAACGATAACTACTAAAAGCTTTCCAAATAGCCATCTGACTCAAGCCAAGTAGGTGGTCAGCATGCTGGTTTGGCAGAATGTGTGGCTGATTGCCAGAGTATTTTTGAGCAAAGCAGCCATTCATTTCACCTGCAAAATCGAAAGTTCACTTTGACATTGAACATAATAAAAAACAAGTCAATGGCTATTTTTAGGCTAAACTAATAAAGATGTACTATAAGTAAAAGAATAGCACCTTTTTTCTTCATGGAGAACACCCTAGTGTATAACGTTTCTGTCCTATGGTCTGTTTTTTAAAAAATTCCTTGTGTGCTTTTTGATTTAAATTACATCAGATAAATGGAAGGTAGCTATCAGCAGTACTATTATGACTATTTTCAGTTCTGGAGAGGCTTTAAACCTGAAATAAATTATATCATTTCCAAATGTATTTTTTATGCATGCCTGCATGTATCTAATATTCCTTTCACTTAATCAATCTTACCAGTCATATAATATCTACACCTATTAAGAGACAAAAGATAGAATGAGAAAATGGAATTTAAAATAAAATATAAAATATAAAAATATAAAATTGCAAGTACAAATGGCTCATATGTATTTGGAATAGACATATGTATTTGTGTACATATAAACATAAAATATTATTAACATTCTTATTTCAATGCTTTCAATGAATACATATATAATAAAATATGAATATTAATATTCTGCAGATTTGGCATTGAATATATTTTAATGTTTGTAATATACATTTTAATGGACACTTGCAAAAGAATAGTAAAAGCTGTCATCTCTTCTAAAAAGGCATTTTAAAAGTTTAAATGTGAAGGGTGAGGTGCTTTAAAAAACTAACTCTTTGATTTAAATTAAAGGTAACTGAAAAAATATCATTGTACATATAACTCTTTGATTTAAATTAAAGGTAACTGAAAAAAATCATTGTACATATATAAATACACAGGTGCTTGTTTCTTGTTATTTCACTAATATTTTTTAGCTCTCCCATGGAAAATAAAAGGAAATACACCAATAATATATGGTATATACTAGGCATAAATAATAACTTAAATATATGTTTCTTTGTATGTGTCTGTGCAATTCATTTTCTCCTTAGTTCATTAGATATGGTTAATAATACCAAAAATTAAATATTCTAAATTTAGTTATTTCTATTTATTTATGTTTTATTATATATGTATGTGTGTGTGTGTGTGTGTATATATACATATAAATTGTGTCAAGGCAATGCCATCTATTCTAGTAATATTATACTTTAATTTAATCAATAATACAGAAACTTAAGCTGCCTAGCTCTAACTTAATGTCTTTCAAATGACTGGGGACAAATAACTTTTCACATATAAAAACTCTAATTTTAGAAAATTAAGCATTTTTTCAACAACAAATAAGTATAATACAATTGATAACTTTTTGATTATTAAGTACCTTTCCTAATAGAACAATTTCTAATACTTCACCAAAGATATCATAACTGTATTTATACCAGAACTAAGGTACGGTTTTGTAATAAAATATATTGAGCTACTTACCAAGGCAAATATATTAAGAATTATAATTATGCTAATATAATAAGAATTGTTTTGATTGTTAATCATATTAAGAATTACAAGTATAGGCAAAATTCATAATGGCTCAATTTCATTAGTCACAAAACCCTTTGTGTTGAGTTCTTTGTTTTGAGTCTAGCCATTGCTTCTTACTCATCACTCCCTAGATCACTAAAATATTATCACTATGATGCTATTTTGGTTTATTAATAAGAGAAATACATGTCTATGATTTCATGAAATTAAAAATACATATAATAGATTATATGTACATTATATATACTATATATTCATAAAATATATTATACAAATCAGGTATATATGTATACATTATTTATTTAGATATATATACTTAAGTATATAAAGTTATGTACATATGTAAATAAGGATATGTATACATATGTGTTTATGTATATATACACATTATATAGATAGGTACATTATATATACATTATATATACACATATGTATGTATACAGATGTATGTATCTATATATAGATATATAACATATATGATATTTTATTAACAAATACCTACAGAGATACTACTCATTGAGTACTTGCTGTAGAGTATATATCTCTATGTAGGATATATGTGTCTCTATATAGATATGACATATATTTGTATCTATATATGTGTTCATATATAGGTATAACATTTATATACCTATATATGTATCCATATATAGATATAACATTTATATACCTATATATGTATCCATATATAGATATAACATTTATATACCTATATATGTATCCATATACCTATGGATACCTTATATACCTATAGGATACATTATATACCTATATATGTATAACTTATCTATGTATCTATATATGTGTCTATATATAGATATATCTGTATATCTTTATGTCTGTCTATATTAGATATCTGTATATTATATCTAGATATGTTATATCTATAATATATGTACAACATATAACATAATATATAGATATAACATCTATATGTAACATATCTATAGATACAGCATATATTGATATATGTTACATATATATCTCTAAATAGATACATATAGATATATAGATATGTTATTTCTATATTCATATATATACTCTATAATCTTATATATCTATATATAAATATATATAAAATAAATATTTTATATATCTTTGTAAATGGGTTCATTATATAGATATATAAGATGTATACTTATAGATTTATATAGATATATAAAATTATATTATCTAATATACATCTATATATAATAGATATTATATAAATATAATACAAACCTATTTATACAGGCATTGTATAGATACTATGTAGATACATAATATATCTCTATATAGATACATAAATCTATGCATATATCTATTATATATAATATAGCTCTCTGTATATACATAACATTAAGTGCACCTTGATTGCTCTGAATTTTTGGTGCTCCTTGATAACTCTTAATTTTTTGAACTAATTATTCTATGACTGTTATTTTTTTTCTGGGTAGCAGTAAATCCAAAAGGTATTAGAAGTCAATCGACAAAAGTTCTTGACTAAGCAAAAACTATACTACAAAGAGATATGCTGCATCATACATATAAGCCCTTCTTATTAACTGAAATAAGTCTTGTGATGAGTTAAGAGATAGCTTTTTACAATGATATCTCGGACTTGTACTAGGAAGTGTTGGAGTACAACATGACCCCATTTTAGTAGTGATGATTGTCAAAGAAGTGTTATTGATTCATGTCTCAGGTGAAGCAGAAAAATCAGTACCAGACAGCTCTACGGGAGTTGGTTCTAATGGTTTTACTGTCTTAGAGCCATCTGGGAGATGCCTTTCAAGGATGATCAACATGGCCAAATGAGATCAGTCCATCTACATGGTGGACCAAGTCCAGGGGCCTCAAAATTTAATTTAGAAGGAATCTATCTTCATTTATTATTACTGGCAAAAATAAGCATTTTACAAGGATATGCAGATTGAGCATCATTCACATACTTTTTATTGTTTTTATAATTTATGCAAACATTTTTAGGTATACACTATTTCAAATATTACCTTATTTATAATTTAACAGGAATTCCTCACATCAATAAATCAGAATAACATGGTAAGCAATAAAAATCTTGTATGATGAATTTGTTGTCCACTTTTCCCAACAGTCACGTTTAGGTTTTGTGCCTATCTTTTCATTTTTCCCAAATGGGTGATGGTAATGAAATAATTTTGTTAAAGTTCTTGGCTGTATATTCTCCAGATTTGAAAGGCAATGTGGGCTATTTAGTATAATATGTAGAAAAGCAATTTATGACGCAAAAGAGCTGCCAAAACATTGATTTTTGTGACATGGAACTGAGATTAATCTAATAGTGTTTTCAAACCCTTAAAAATAAATATGACTCAATCAGACAGTCCTTCTGGAAACTGTTTTGCAAAATCAAAACTAAAACTTAACAAAGTCTTCTAATCAGCTAATTAGAATTGGGGACCCTTTGGTAACATATCCTAAATAATCTGGCACATGTTAAAAAAGTTTATAGAGTATTCAACATACAAATACATTCCAGGTCAAAAGGTATTCCTTTGTAATGAATGCTTTCATTCAACTTGTTCCTGGACATATTGTATGCTCTGTGAGAAAAAAAAATGATTCATTCATTTTCTGTATTTGAGTTTCAAGTAGCATAAACCCAATTTAAACTGTCCAAACAAACATGGGAATGTATTGACTCATGTAGTTGAAAAATTCAAGGTATATTTGGATCCAGACAATCAAATGATACTAAGAATGTGTCTCTGTTTTCCTGGTCCTACGCTTTTTCTGCCATAAACTAGCAAGTTCCCACCATGCGGAGGTAATTCTATCCCCTGCCTAACACTCTAAATAGCCCAAGCTTACATCATGCTTATGATGCAAAGCCACCGTGTAAAGAATACAACTCTGTCTGTCTGTGTGTGTCTCAGTGTTCATTTCGATCTCGGGAAAGAACATCTAATTGTCCTTGGAGTTGTGGCCTATTGCCCAGCTTGTGTTCTGTGGTGCACTATGATCCATAATTTTTCCATGTGTTTGACAACCTTATCATAGAAAAGGAAAGAAAAAAGGCACAAGATTACAAAAAGCGGGGAGAGACTAATTCATCTGAAATAACAGTATAATGAATTTCATTTCATATGTCCTAACCCTACACAATTTTCCCCACTCAGCTAATCTCTCATAATTGCTTTGCCTTTGATTATGATTTTTCTACTAACATGAAGCAAGAAATAATTGTGCATACTTGTTAGTATAAATCAATTTCCCATTGGTAGTTGATTTATGTTTCTTTTGCTGTTATTAATCTTTAATTTTTTAATTCATTGGTATTTGAGAGATTATTCATCAATACATCTGTATTTCAGCTTCTTGTGTTTGCTAATCTCATCGTAACTGAAACTCAAATATCAACACCTTTTAAAGAAAATAGTTGTACTTTTCTAATCCTGGCAAAATCACAAAGGTCATTATGTTGAATAAATACGTAAGCTCCTTAAGGAAAAATAATGTGCAGTTTTTTTTCTGTCCTCAAATTCTAACAAAGTGACAAATGCTTGTTAGATAAATGGCAGTTATATTAAGGTTTCAGTCAATATTCTTTTATTTAAGACTTTGTTAAATAAAAGGAAAAGCACAAAAGACAAAAATCAATGAATTCATGTAACTGAAAAACAAAAGAGGATACCAACTTTAGCCACCGTTAACTGAGGATATAAGGATATTTTTAGTATGTTTTCTTTCTATTCGTCAACTTATTGTGTTGAATAGAAAGATGGCAATAAGCAGTTTGGGTTTATGTTGCATTTATAGCTTCTAATTTCAAAGACAAACCGATTCTGTTCCAGCATCTTTTCACAAGTTTCAGAAACAAATTCGGAATGTCCAAGAGAGGTCCACTTTGGCTAATGTAGCATTTTGAGGGTCTTATGTTCTCTTTTCAATACAAATAAGATTATAAGTAAACAGCACTCCCAGAAAAAAATTAAAATTCTAGGTTAAAGGTTTCTACACATTGCAGTGTTGATAAGACTCTAACCTGAAATAAAACTACAAAACCACATAGGGAATAATTAAGGACTGGCTTTTGCCAACTTATACTGTCTATACTTAATTCATGGATATAGAGACCATACCCATTGAAAATTCTAATGGATTCTTTCCACTAGGTGAAGATCTAAAAACTACCTATTGGGTAGTATGCTTATTACCTGGGTGATGAAATAATCTGTAAAGCAGACCCCTCAACACACAATTTACATATATATATAGCAAAACTGCACATATACCCTTGAACCTAAAATAAAAACTTAAAAAAATCAAATTTCTTAATCACTCCAGTATTGGTCCCAATTCATGAATTTCAATTCTTAAAGTAGCAGATGAGGGATTGTGATAAATTGAGAGTAGAACATTGTGTTCTGGTATAGATAGTGCCCTCAGGAAGAGAATTGGTTGTAGAAATCATAAGCTGATTATGTTGAAACTCTATCTTTTGCTATAAACAGTGCTAAGCCTTATTTCACTTAACTCTTACAGCAAGCCCTATAGAAAGTATTAGCACTATTTTACAAAAGAAACTAAACTTTGGGGAGATTCTAATTTTGTCAAGATCAAAGAGCAGATTTGAATTTGGATTTAGGTCTGTCTAAATACAAAAACAATGCTCATAATCAATATTTATCCTGCCTTACATGCAACAGAATGATTTTATCTCAACTTTATTTAGTAAAGTAATAAGAACTAAAGAGAGAGACACTGATTTTCCAGAAAGACATTTCTTGTTCATATTATTAGAGAAAAAAACAGGTAATATAAATATATCACATTAGTCAACAGAGCCTCAACATGCAAGATCTTATAGAGCTAGCAAATTAATTTTAGGACTATGCCCATCAATGCATCTTGTAGCCCTATTATTGAAAGAATAATTGCTAAAGAATCTAAATGAAAGACAAGAGATATATAACTAAATCAATAATAATCATTAGAAAACTACATACTTGACTAGATCTTGAATCAAGTACTAGGGAAATTTAAAAGAAGAATGCTGCTGCAAATGAAAGGTTCTCCAGCATTGGCAGGAAATTCTATTACACTTCCACAAGTTTGTCCCAAAAAGTTGCATTTAAAAAAAAAGTCTCCATTTAAAATGATGGGTATGTACCAAACTAATGGATCATTTTACAGCAAAACATTTCTAGAAAAGGTTATGGCTGTAGAGAACGTTTGTCTGAGAACTTAACATTTCCTACAAAAGATGAATATCACCATCATTTTTATATTAGAACAATATCACAGGTGTTTACATATGTCTAAACACACTAAATATGTGCAGTTCTTTATTATCAATTATACCTGAATAAAACTCTTTTTAAAACAAAATCCAAAATTTTAAAGTTCTTAAGAATTGCCATATTAGCAGTGCTTCTAAAATGAAATATTAAAAACCTACTTTTAAAACACATTTTAGGATAAATTCATTTTTTTCCCTACCTAGCAGCACAAAGCATAAGTCAAGGAAAGAGGCAAGGCAGCTGACTATGGTCTGTGGTCAAGTGAGATCTGCAAATCTTTTCCCCAGAAGGCAATTGTAAAGCTGAGCAAAATTGTGAATCCATTACCATTATTTAAAATAATGATGATAATAATAATAAGACCGGGCACAGAGACTCACACCTGTACTCCCAGAAGTTTGGGAGGCTGAGGAGGGCAGACCGCTCGAGCTCAGGAGTTCCAGACGAGCCTGGGTAACATACTGAGACCCCTGTCTCTACTAAAAACACAAAAATTAGCCAGGCATGGTAGCACATGCTTGTGGTCCCAGCTAATCCAAAGGCTGAGGTGGGAACATCGCTGAACCCAGAAGGCAGAGGTGGCAGTGAACTGAGATCACGCCACTGAACTCCAGCCTGGACGATAGAGTCAGACCTTGTCTCAGAAATAAATAATAATAATAAAGGAATTAATAGACATAGGAACATAAATAAAATATCACCCACAATTGACCAAATACATGACAACCTATGAAGGGTTTAGCTTTAAACAAATTGCTGAGCTTCAGGTAAGAATAGTGTGAATCTGTGGTGTTCTGCTCTAGGGCTGCTCCCATCTTGCCTGCGCTCACCCTGATACCTACCCTTCAGTTCTATTGACCTTGAAGTTCTTCCAAGTTAGGACAGACTGAAGACTGGCTGCCAGCAGCTTCTCTTCCATGGTAGAAGGAGGCTCTCTTTACTTGAAGTACTGCGCAAGGCCCATGGTTAGCACCACTGTGAAAGTAAAGCCGGGGAGCAGGGGAGTCCTAAGGTCTTGGTTC
Source organism: Homo sapiens (assembly GCF_000001405.40). NCBI lineage: Eukaryota > Metazoa > Chordata > Mammalia > Primates > Hominidae > Homo > Homo sapiens. Next base: position 193,802,882 of record NC_000002.12, on the reverse strand, counting down.
TAGTTACCTGAGAAACGGTCTTAGCTGGAACAAACATACTCCTAGCTGAGGCTATGCAAACCCAAAAGAAGAGCTCAGAGAGGGTCAAGCCCTGATCAACAATGAAGTATGAATGTGCTCCCCGACAATCCCACAGATCCACCTGCAGAAGGTGGTTGACTTCATTGGCTGTTAGTGTTTAAGTGCAACCTCTGTTTAATCACTGGCTGATCTCTAAGCTACCTAGATACAAGGGCCACTATGAGGAAGAAGACCAGGCTTAAAAATCAGGAAAAGAATACACACACACTCACACACACACACACACACACACACAGATGTTTAACTGAGACATTAGTGCCTGCACACTGCAACAGTAATCTATCATAATTGAAATGATATGGATAGACATATTGGTCAACATCAGAGTAACGGAAGATTTAAACATAAATTATATATCATAAAAGACACAGTGCAATTCAGCAGGGAAAGGACCATGGAATAAAATGTTGCAGGACAATTTTATATTCATGTAAAAATTATAAAATTGGAGGACTTGTCTCAAAGCAGTTACAGGTAGTTTAAGAATTTAAAAATGAATGGCCAAATTTTACAGAAAAAATAGAATGTTTTGAAACCTGTGCTAGAAAAAAGTTTCTTAAACAAAAAAATTAGTCAGATTTATAAATCTACTACCCTAAATTTAATATCTTCTTAAGATGGAAATTTGTGACACATATAAGCAAATAATGATCATATATATAGATATGACTATACATGCACATATATATGTGAATATGTATACACATGAACATTGCCTTAAAATCAGTGCAACACATTAAAGATATAAAGCATAAGGAAATCTTCAAGCAATATTAAAAAGGGACTTACAGAAAAGAAAATACAAATATCTAATTAATATTTAAAAAAATAATAAATGAAGTGAAAACCAAAGTCAAAATTAGATCTTGTACTGACACTGTTTTGCAAAAAAAGATATTCTAAAACTTAACACAATAAAAAAAATTGGTAAAGATGTGAGTTAATGGAAATCTTTATATAATGTTTGTGAAAATGTTAACTGGTGAAACCAAATTTTTTTTTTTTTTTTTTTTTTTATGTTGTCTTGCTCTGTTGCCAGGCTGGAGTGCAGTGGCGCGATCTCGGCTCACTGAAACCTCTGCCTCCCGGGTTCAAGCGATTCTCCTGTCTCAGCCTCTCGAGGACCTGAACTATAGGTGCATGCAATCACACCCAGCTAATTTTTTATATTTTTAGTAGAGACAGGGTTTCACCACATTGGCCAGGATGGTCTTGATCTCCTGACCTCGTGATGTGCCCACCTCGGCCTCCCAAGGTGTAACCAATTTTGAAATTAACTTAGCATAATCTCTTAAATTTGAAGACAAATGTACTGTTCTTTCCAGTAAATTTGTTTGCTGGTATTTTAATCATATAAGTAATTTAAAAATGACTCAATAAATACATAAATATGCTGTATACATGCAAAAGACTACTTCACCATACAATTAAGTAAATGGTACCTACATACATGTAAGGTTGGGGAACAATCCTCCATGGCATTTCTGCACATCTTGGGTAAGTATTTTTTTCTGAACTATTTTCTTCAACAATGTTTATAGAACAAACAACTTTGGAAGATAGAATGTCATCTTCTAGGTCAGAGGGCAGATTTGTTTAATATCAAGATAATGTCTGCATCTGGGACAAAGAGAAACAGGTTTGCTAAAAGCCTCCTTTAAATGATCAGAGATCCTAAGCTCAGGGTTCCTTAGTGTGGCACAGGCTTATTGTGTGTACACACCTACCTGGCCATGACACCACATTACCCCTGTGGCATTGCAGAGCAAGGTATACCCATGAGGACATGCAGGTCATGCTGCCTGCTGTGCTGGAAGTAATCAGCTGTTTGTATCTACCCAGGAGTCCTATGTATTCTGCCAGAATTGTAGCAGACTAGCTCAACAGTTTGAAAGTAGGGTAAAAATCTCAGACCCTTCACAGGTTTTCACATGTTGATACATTTGAATATGTAATGTGATTGAGAATAATGTGATCCAGAGGAAAATGTACATAATTATTTCATTTACATAAACATTAAAATATGCAAAGCTAAATAATATATAGGTATCTGACAAAACTAAATATAAAAGCAAGTTAATGTTAAGACAAAATTTGAAATTCTGTCCTCTAAAAAAGAGAAGAAATAAGATTCAGGAGGTACATGAGTGGATCTTTATGATCATCAGTAATGTTCAATTACTTAAGCTGTGTGGAGCTTAATTTTGCCATTTTTTGCTATGCTACACATTCATCTACTATATTTTGCTATACCACATGTTCATCTACTGTAAAAAAATAAAATATATTTTTTAAAATAGCAATTGACCCAAGAATTTCCAAGTATGTCACAGAACATGAAAGACTTAGAGACTATGACCTTGACCTTGTAGTGACATCAATATCTACAAGTTTTTTTTTTTTTTTTTTCTTTCACATAGAACTCCACATTACAAGTATACAAGTGAGCAAGATGGCCCCTCTGTATAATTTAGAGTTGGAGTTTTGTACATCAAGTTAGCAGAAGACTTAAGGATAGGGAATCGGAAGGGGATAATGTGGATAGAGAGTCCTCAAAATTACAAAATGAGAATTCTAGGGCAATTAAGAACAGAAAATTAGGATGAGGTGAATAAAGATTAGGAGAGAAATACAGGTATGAGAAAAAGCTTAATGAAAGTATTCAAAGGAAAGGATTAAAAGTATTTTTTTGTCAAAAAGTATAAGATTCCATTAATAATTTAGAGGTTGAATAGTGTCTGAACTATTATTTCAAGGATATCTATAACAGATGACGATTACTTCAGTTGAATGGAAGGAAAGTTCTTTGGAATTTAGAAATACAATTACTGGAATTAAAGAATTGTTTTATGAACATTGACTTTACTCAGAATAATGGACACATGTGAAATGAGAATTTAGTGCCAAATGTGGTGCTAGAGACAGGAGACAGCCAAGGGTCCCCAGCGAAACCCCACCTTCAAGCCTAAAACAGCCTGAAAGCTGAAAAACTGGACTGCTGGTTCAGGATAAAACCCGCAACCCAGAGGGAGAACTGCCCGTTTGCCCGCCCTTTCCAACCTGATTCTTTCTGAATAATACCCACATGTGCACTGGGGGGATGGGGTCAGACAACCAGGAAATTGTGTCTATGCAGGGAGGAGGGGTCTGGTCTCTCTTCAGCTCCTGTGTGTGGGGGCCTGGTATTCAGTTTGTGAGGCGGGAGCCCATTGGCAGTATCCCCTCTTGCTTTGCTGAGAGGTTTTTTAAATTTTTCACCCAATAAATTCTACCCTCCTCACACTTCAATGTGTCCACATGCCTAATTTTTCCTGGTAGTGACACAAGAACCCCAATTTAGCTGAACTAAAGAGCAAAAATCCTGCATCAGTGCCAAAATCACCAATTCATGTAAAATGTAATTGATGCTAATAAATGAAAATGATAAAGTAGTAAAATACTGCCATGCCTGAAAACTCGAATATGTGTTGGTTACTTATTCAAGATAAAAGTAAAGCTGGAATAATATATTTTTGAAAAAGAAATTATTATGACATTGTAGACATTGTTAATATATTCAGAAGTATCATAGGTAAGAATCCAAGAGTCATTTTCACATTGATGTTTTTAATAATGATCATAATCAAAATAGTTCTGATTTTATAGAAATTTTACGTGTGTGCACTGGTATAATTTTACATGTTGCTGAAATCTTGAACTGCTTTATTTTGCACAGCTATGGATTTAGTGTTAAAACATTTAAATATTTTTACACATATTAGTAAGGAGCTGCCTTGTCCCCTACTCTTAAGACATCACTTTAATCCAGCAAATAAAGTATAACTGTCTTCACAGCAAGTGGCCTACAACACCTTATTCTACCCGGGTGTGGCACCAGCTGTTAAAATATTTTGACAATCATCTCTGTGTATATGTGCATTTGCATACAAAAAGTCACATGGATATATCTTAATATCAAATATGCTTAACTCTGGCTACTTTCTCCTAACTCTCCTCAAACCACTTTTACCATGACCATTTTTCAATCTAACCAGGAGCTGCAATTGTTTAATCCCAATCAATCTGCATATGTATGACCCCTTCTTTCTTTTTTTTTCCCATTTTACTCAGTGTAGAGTGGATTGCCAAAATGTTAGTACCTCTATTTCCAATACCTGTAATCTCTTGATCACTTGTGCCTGGCTTCTGTATATTGGAATTAGGACTCAGGACTCAGTCCTGTGTGCCTTTCATGGTCTAATTTTTATGATAGGGATCTGATGTCCAAATTTCCTAGTTTTATGTATAAGTTAGTGAACTCTGTTCGTGACCAGTCTGGCCAACATAGTGAAACCCTGTCTCTATTAAAAGTAAAAAAAAATAGCCAAGCGTGGTGGGGGGCGCCTGTAATCTTACCTACTCGGGAGGATGAGGCAGGAGAATTGCGTGAACCTGGGAGGCAGAGGTTGCAATGAGTCGAGATGGCGCCATTGCACTACAGCCCGGGCAACAGTGCGAGACTCCATCTCAATAACAAAACAAAACAAAACAAAACAAACAAAAAAGTTAGTGAACCCTGAATATCTCTTGCTGATACTGCTGTACTGAATTTCATGTATTTACAAGAAACTGCCTTCTCAGAATCTTTACTCAGAGGTATCATTAGCTCCTTATCCTCAAAATTTCAAAAACTAAGCTTGTGACCCCCTTATTCTACAATATTGTGTTACTATGAGGTCTCCTCTGTTCTTTTGCTTTCATCTTTGCATTTTTTTGTCAGTGAAAATTGACAACATGTATTGAAATATTTATTATTTACAAACAAGAATCCTAAAAGTCTTTGAAATGGAGGGAATGAAACATTTTTCAAATAGTACATTTAATTTCTCTGTCCAGAGTGATTGATTTAGAAGTTATGTGTGACCTAAGCCAGTTCAATACGAATGAATCTGATTTTTATTGCTCAGAATGCCGGGAAACAGAGATGACTGACCCTATTCCACCCTAGATTTGAAAAAAAAAAAAAAGTAACCCCGTATACTTTAAAACAACTAAGTATGAAAAAATATAACGTACAGAAACCAGAGAAGTGACACACAAAAAAATTAGTTTGTATAGCGTTGAATTTGTGATCATGTCTCTCTCTTTGTAAGTTTTGTCAATGAATTCTCCTTTTTGTTGTTATAAAATCTGCCTCTAGAATAGGTCAAGTCTTCTTAATTTACATTCCTAGAGCACTCTGTATTTTTTCTTAAAGATCTCATGAAATTATTTATTACATATTTTTATAATTATTAGATTAACATCTGTTGTTTTCATTAGAATGTAAGTTTCGAGTGGTTATGAATGTTTTTTTACCATTTGACTCCCAATACTGTCACAATACAAGAGCCCCAAATTATTTTACAATAAATAATCACAGATACACTGAGGATGACATTCATGAGAAAAATAAAAGTGCAGTGGGTTGCTGGATGAATGATTGGATGAATTTATTCCAAATGGCCTTTTTTTTAGGAAAAAAAAGAATATTTTTGTTCGCTCTAGAGACAAAATTACCATATTTTCTTCCAGGCGGGATTCTCTTCATTATTAATTAAATGGAAAGATTGCTGAGAAATGTTTGTTCTACTAGACATAATTTATGGTTATCTCTTCTCAGTGCTGAAGGACATTATAATTTGACTAAGCATTTCTCTAGCAGGATGAATTTAGTTAAGCAAAATATTTTTAAAGGCCATCACCAGTACATCAATGTCAAAGCATCAATGATAAATTGCACTCATAGATTTAACATTTGACACCTGTGACATTTGGACAGAAAAGACATGGAATTTCTCTCTCTCTCTCTTTTACAGCCTCGATAAAGTTTCAAAAGCAGTTTCTTAAGTTACACACTTTGCCCTATATGTTTAGTAACCTTTAGAGTACTGATTCTCCAACTTGTTTGAATTAAGGACAACTTTGAGACTGTAACATAAATTTCAGGCCCACACCATAATTAAATATACATATACATATGTACACATAATTTTGTATATAATTTCAGAGTTTTCATGGAACCAATGAATTCACATGTTTAGAGTAACTTATTTACAATTGAAAATTGATAGATATATATATATCAACATTTAGTCATAAATATTATGTATAAAGATATATAAGCATATACACATATATGCATATGTATAAGTTTATGAAGAAGACAGTTTCAACCAAAATTATTTAAATTTTTAATTATTAATTTAACCATAAAATGTTCTTATATGTTAAAAATCTATATAACACTGAAGCTGATGAAATGTTGATGAACACTGTCATCACACTAGATAAAATGTGTTGAAAACTCTGTGCATGCACTGTTATGTGCACTGATTTGATTTGGCTTTGTCCCCACACAAATCTCATCTTGAATTGTAGTTCCCATAATCCCCACAGGTCATGGGAGGGACCCGGTGGAATGTAGCTGAATGATTGGGGTCGTTACTCTCATGCTGCTATTCTCCTGATAGTGAGTGAGTTCTCCTGAGATCTGATGGTTTAATAAGGGGCTTTTCCCCCTTCTGCTTGGCACTTCTTTTTGCTGCTGCCATGTGAAGAAAGACATGTTTTCTTCCCCTTCCACCATGATTGTAAGCTTCCTGAGGCCTTTCCAGTCATGGCAAACTTTAAGTTAATTAAACTTCTTTCCTTTATAAATTATTGAGTCTCAAGTATGTCTTTATTAGCAGTGTGAGAACAGATTAATAGATGTGCCAATCTTAATACTGCTCTTTTTGCACAAAAGAATTCTGAAGACACCAAAGTTCATGGGTCTCCAGAGTCCACACATAGTATTCAGCATCACAAACACATTTTATGTAGCTTCTGCTGTTACCATAAATTCTTATTTTATGTTTATTGTATAGACTTTAACCCAGTAAATGCTAATTTTTAATGATATATGAAGAGAGTAGAATAAAGAAGTGTTGGTGATAATCTGCCTAATGATAGCATCTCATGAGGAATTTTTATTTTACAAAAGTGTTTGTTTGTTTTCAACTTTTATTGCTCTTGGAGTTTTCTTTAACATAGCACAGAATCTGTAAATTCCTGCTCAAAGCATGTATTTTCCATCTTTTAAATAATATTTTATATTATTGCATTTTATAGCATTTGTCCAGTGCTCTCTGATATCATGTCACAAGAATAAAAGATTTGTACAGATTTATAAGCAGGTTATATATTTTACTCTCAAGAAGATGAGTGTCCCATTTCTCCACATCCTCTCCAGCACCTGTTGTTTCCTGACTTTTGATAGACTGGATTAAGAAAATGTGGCACATATACACCATGGAATACTATACAGCCATAAAAAATGGTGAGTTCATGTCCTTTGTAGGGACATGGATGAAATTGGAAATCATTATTCTCAGTAAACTATCGCAAGGACAAAAAACCAAACACCGCATGTTCTCACTCATAGGTGGGAATTGAACAATGAGAACACATGGACACAGGAAGGGGAACATCACACTCTGGGGACTGTTGTGGGGTGGGGGGACGGGGGAGGGATAGCATTAGGAGATATACCTAATGCTAAATGATGAGTTAATGGGTGCAGCACACCAGCATGGCACATGTATACATATGTAACTAACCTGCACATTGTGCACATGTACCCTAAAACTTAAAGTATAATAATAATAAAATAAAAAAAAGAAGATGAGTGTCCAAAAATTATAACCTACTAGAGTCCTCAAAAATAAGTTTACCTTTGCCTTTATCCAAAATGTTAAAGGATTAGGTGACAAAATACTCAAAGAGTGGGCTTTTGATGAAGATCAAAATCAACACCAAAACTTTACATTAATATCTTGAAATATGTCACTAGTGTTTCACAAATAAACATACAAAATACATATATAAAAAGTATATTTTGTTACAAATAAATATACATAAAAAGTAAAGCTTGTCACTGAATTTTGAAATGATGTCTTCTTAATCCAAAACAATTCTATTTTTATCTGAGCAAGTTCCAAGTTTATGACTCTGCCTTATATGTCTATACAAAATTCACTTCACTGGTAACATGCATTTCCAAATTTAACCATGGAGAAATGCAATATCAGTTTCCAGTCACATAAAGAATACTTCATAACACCTAAGTTCCTAATATTTAGAAACTATTAAAAGACTGCCTTTTTGTAGTACCATACCTGGTACTGTGTGATTTACAAGGTTCAACCCCCCTTTGTAGTTCTAGACTAAAATATCTTGAGGGTATGTTATGTTCTATCTTTATTTGTGCCATGTGAAGCTATGACTATTCCCAGAAAAGCCTTCCCTAAACAAATTATATAATCAGTCACTTTTTAATGTTGTCTACAGGTATACTTTTTTTTCTGAGTTTATATTTTCCTTTCTGTAATTTGCCTAAGGGTATTAATGCTAATATATTTATATTTTTACCTTTTTGTACCAAGTCCAGGGCATCTCATAATTACAGGGCATGGGTTCCAAAATCTTTGCAGGCTTTAAATGCCTTTATTGTTGTATCTTATTAAAGACTTTATTTTATTCTAGAGGATGCACTACCCTCAACCCATCGTACTTCCACAGTCAGATCTTCATTTTGGTGTGCGGGTTCTCTCATGAAAAAAAGCAGACTTAGGACAGTGCGAGTAGAAGTTGAAATTAGTAATCAGTAGCCTAAACAATGATTCATTCAGATTCTTTCTCTCTCTGTCATTTTCTCTAGCCTATCCCAATACTTACTTTCTCGTCTCTGCTTTTCTCTACATTGTTACTCTATCATCGTGTCTTTTTTACCTTTTTGTTTTTGTTTTCTTTTGGAAAACTGCCTTCTTTACAGATTAATCATGTTGAACGTGGCTTTAAATATGTCTTTTCTAGCTCCAATTCAACATGGACTTACTATTTAATCTACTACTAGTTGGAAATTACATGTCTCTTAGATGAAGTTTGCAAAAATTATAATCTGCTGTTTGCCCATTGATGATCTTTTCCCAGATTAGGTATCAATCACTGGCCTACACAATGGCACCAGGAAACAGAATTACCAAATAGAAATACCCTCATGGTACCTCTTTGGTATGACTTTTGGCTACAAAAGTGGTTTTAAGGGCTGTGAATGTGAGTGGGCAGAAACTGCAAGATATGTCAACTTCAGCTTTACATATGTCGACATGTCAATTCTAATGGTTAACTCCCATCAGATTTTGGCATTCATTTTACCATATGCTCAAGGTTTTTTTTTTCTTTAAAAAAAAACAGTTGTATTGAGATATAATTGTATGTCACAGAATTTACCCATTTAAAGTGTAAAAACCAATGCTTTTTATTATGTGTATAGAGTTGTGAAACCATAGATACAATCTAATATTGAAGATTTCTGTGCTCACTGAAAGAAAACCAATATAACAGCTTGGCAGTTCCTCTAATCATTTGTTCATAGAGTTAATATATGTTTTCAAGTTTCATCTATGTTGTAGCATGTATTACTACTCTGTTCCTTTCTATTCTTGAATAGTAGTCCATTGCATGTATGTACAACATTACATTCATATTTTATTTATCTGTTTATCATTTGGTATGCATCTGGGTTGTTTCCATTTTTTTGGCCAATATGATTAGCTCTTCTGACCATTTGGTTACAAGTTTTTGGTGAACATATGTTTTCATTTTGGGGGGTATACAGTTAAGAATTGAATTACTAGCTAATATTGTCAGGTTTATATTATTGAAGAACTGCCAAGCTGTTTCTCAAAATAACTGCACCGTTTTATATTCCTGTTAACAATTTATGCAGGTTTCAGTTTCTCTACATCATCACCAACACTTGCTATTTTCTGCAATATTTTGATTATTTTTTATTGCTTTTCATTATGCTGATTGTTTTCCTGTTGGCTGTGAAGTGACATTTTATTGTGGTTTTGATTTGCATTTTATTCTGACTAATAATGTTGAACTGCATTTAAATCTTGGTTTTATTGCTTCTCAGATATATAACCATAGGCAATTTATTTATCATTCTCCTTGACTTTCAAGTAGTTAAGGCAAAATTATCCTTGAAACTACTTAGTATAAAAAGGAATGCAGAAGTAATCTAAAGTCAAATTATAGTTCAAAGTGTCTTAGAAAGTTGCCATGTTGAAGACCAACATACTTTTCTTATACATTTAGCTGTGACTTGCCCAAGTTTTTCTCTAGCACTGACTGAATGAGACCCCATTTTTTGGATTGTGGTTTTGCAACACTTGAAATAGTTTACTTACATTGGAGTATTTTATGGGATAGCAAAGAATAAAATGCCCTTCAATGCTAGAACCACATTCAGAACCAGCTAACATCTGTCAAATCTGGGCCTAAGTGTTCTTAGCATAAGGGTACAAGTTAATTTTCAATTTTCAATTTCAATTATTCAATTTTCAATTTTCAAGCTCACTTTTGGCTAAAGGCTTAATGAGTAGAATTGTTCAGATTACTTAAATTATTATTTTCTTTTTTTAATGATATCCCACCTGTATTTTCACTAAATCCTTGCATATAGAGTCAAGAATATTAAACATAGTTAAATTAAATGCACATGTGATTTGCCAGCTTTGTCAATTAAGCAATCTTCTAGACTGCAAGGGTTATGTGGAACTTTATTTTTAAGTCTGGCTTCCCAGGAGTTGGTCCTGGGACACAGTGGTTTATCGTCATGGAGCATTTATTCAGAAGTTGTTTTAATCCTCTTGTACAAATGAGGCTCCTCATCTGTGTTGACTTTTTTCTTTTTTTGTTTTGCTGGTTTAAGGAATACTTTGAAGTCTGCCCTTGCATTCTTTTCTGATTGTTCTGAGTGGGTGCATCCTAGCATATTTGCACAACTTTTAGATTCAGATAGTTGTTTCAGAATGCCTTATCATGGCTATCTCCTTCCTTCATTCTCTTCAGTAAACTTCTAGCTTTCTTGCCATTTTGTTTATATCATATAGCTAGCTACCAGGCTTCTCTTAATTGCTGTCCATCAAGGTCTTTATTGTTTTAGGTATCACTCTAAGCATGGAGTTTTCCAGTCTCTTATCCAAATTAAGTTGTTCCCCTCAGAGAGAAATGAGCAACTTTGCAGAGTCATAGCTGATTTTTGTTGTTGTTATTGTTTTCAGTACCCTTGTGCCACTGCATTGGAGCTTGTGGCGGGTATACCCTTTTCCTACAAGGACACCCCAGTACTATGACTGAGCACTTGAAATGGCATAGTAGGTCATTATCTTTTTGTCCTTCCTCTACCAGCTGGGAAACTTTATTCTATGAATAAACTGGAACAAGGACAATCAGGGCCCCGATATTCTTAACTTGCCACGCCTGGGGTAGAACCGCTGCCCGGTAAATGGGGCTAGATGATAGAAGAGAAACCTAGTTATTTTGGCTATGCCTACCTGGACTAGAACTTCTATAACATGGAGCCAGGAGAAATGAGAAGCTACAGAAGTCAGCCCCTCCTATGATAAAACCAGACTGGGAGCTAAGAGTGGAGAGAGCTCCTTGTCTTAGGAGCCCATGACTGGGGTAGACCTTCCATAGCATGGAGCTGCAGAGGGCTGGCCATGGAGTAGGTTGTGGGTCAAATGCCATAGATGCTAGCTGTTCTTAATCAAGATTTAATAGCTATTCTTGAATGAATGTGTCTCCATTTTCTGTATGTTTTTAGGGATAATTTCCAGAAATTTTAATTACTGTTACTTTTACAATTTTTACCAGCTAAATTGTTCTTTCACTAAGGGAGAAGATCTCCCAAACTTCTTACTGTGGCATTCCAGAAGTCTCATCTTTTTCAATTTTAGTAGGGTCTTTTATTTGGTCTTTTAGTCATTTCCTTAGTATTCAAGGTGTGTGTGTATGTATATGTCTGTCTGTGTGTGCATGTGTGTTATTTTCTTTTAGTGACTATTGTTGAGATGAGTGGACTTTTCTAGTACCAAACATTTCTTTTATATAATTTTTCATTCTTTAACTGTGTTAAAATTACAGATCTTTGAATGTCTAGCTAAAACTATATATTCCACAATACACATTTTTTACATCCTCAGATGCATAAGAAAAGTAAAATATATTTTCAAATAATCAATAAGGTTATTAGTCATGTTTTCATGGTTTTATTTTGAATTAAATTATAAACTGTTTAAATGTAATCAGCTGTGTTCAAGATTTGCCTCTAGTTTCTAGAAAGTCTTAACACAGTGCCAATGTTATATGCTATTTTTATCATTCCACTAGAAAAATTGATTTTAGGTAAAGAGATATGTGACTAGAAGACAGCACATGCTTATGTTTGTTCTATGACTTGTTCAACTAAGCTAAATTTTTCTGTAAAACAAACTGTCAAAAATATTTTTATCATCAGATTTATTTTTAAAATATTATTGCTGATCTTTCAAAAAGGCTTTCCTTTGATTAATAGTCATGTTTTCTGGGATTATTTTTTCTATATTTATGATAGAATCTATGTAAACGTCTTATAAGTATTTAATATCTTATGGTTTACAAACACTTATCAAAAAATAACTATCATATTGAAAGCCCATAGACTACCACAATCTATATTAATATACTTATTTTAAAAGTCAGAAAGAATAAAACAGATGTATGAACTAGTTTTCCTAAAATCATTTGATTAGAAACTGCCATCAATTATAAAATGAAGTTTTCCATATCTAAGACCTGTTTTTAAACATACTACAATTTTATTCCTATTGAGAAATTATAGATAGTGTGTTAGACAATAATGTTCAATAAAAATAAAGAATAAATGTTATGACACATTGTCATCTTTCTATCAGTAATGAGCAGAAAGGTCTTCTGATCTCTAATATGCCTGACTTTAACAAAATTAGGCAGTCTATATCTGATATACTTGTGTGCTCTTCCATTTAATATCAAATTTGAATAAAATAAGGAACTTACAGCATGAAATCACTTGCTAGTTTCAAGGAAGACCTATTTCACCTTTGAAAATGTTATCATATTAAAATGGAGGCCAAATTTAATACTTCAAAGTCTTTTTTCTCATGACTCTGTGGATAATGTCATTAGAGATACGCCTGAATGCTGATAGATTAAAGAAAACCGCAACTGAAGTATGACTTTATTCTTTTATAGATCGTTTTAGAGACGAAGAGCAAAAATTAGAAAATAAGAAAATTGGAAGAATTTTAAAGCTCTGATTTTACTGGAATCTAATTTTATAGTGTTAGGTTAGAAAGATAAGTCAAGAAAGAAAATATAAAACCCTGCTCTCATATACTGATGCAGAACTTCCATTTTGAAGTCTATTGCTTCTGAGGGTAAAAGTTTTTCATAGAGATAATCTTGATTTTATATATTTATTTTTACTCTATTGCTCCTCATCTGCCATGTATGTTGGTCAAGGTAAGGAAAAATATAGCATCACTCATTACAAAATGCTATTCCCTCCCATAAATTATTTGAAAATTAACATCATTTGAAGTTCATATTTGCCTAAGATTAGACAGTAACATTTGCAAAGTGCTTTGATACATATCCTTAATTTGATGAAAGATTAGAAACTTTTTTATAACTTGACTATATTATTTATGTCCATTAAGAACAAACTATAATCTTTTGGAAGATGAAGCAGCTCATATTTACAGAATCAAATGTTTCTTTTCATTTTTGTTTTTTGTTTTGTTTTCTCAGATAAAGAAAGATGATCACCTACCAAACACTGCAATTATTTGTCCACCTTAGGTCAGATGACAAGGCTGTATGCACTTTTGAAAAGATTTTATTTCTTTAGAATGATTTTAGATTCACAACAAAATTGAGAGAAAAGTAGAAAGATTTTCCACACATTGCCCGAGGCATTCATAGCCTCCACCATTATCAACATTTCCTATCAGTCTTATATTTGTTACAAAACATGAATCTACATAGACACATTAGTATTTCCCAAAGTCCACAGTGTGTTTACAATAGGTCTCACACCTGGTGTTCATTCTCTAGATTGGAACAAAAGGATACTGCCATGTATCTACCATTATACTATCATACAGAGCAGTTCTACTGCCCTAAAAATGCTGTGTTCCGTCTATTCATCCCTCACTATGCCCTAATCCTCTACAATCACTGATACTGTTTCCATAGTTCTGCCTTGTCTACAATGTCATATAGCTTTTTAGATTAATTTATTTCACTTGCTAATATGCATTTAAATTTCTTCTGTGTCTTTTCATGGCTTGATATGTCATGTATTTCTTGCACTGAATAATATTCTATTGTCTGCATGTACCACTGTTTATTTGTTGATTCACCTAGTAAAGGACATCTTGGTTGCTTCCAAGTTTTGGCAATTATTAATAAGGCTGCTATGAACATCTGTGTTCAGGTTTTTGTGTAAACATAAGTTTTCAGCTTTCTGGGGTAAATATCAAGGTGCATATTCGCTGAATAATATGAAAACAACATGTTTAGTTTTGTAAGAAACAACCAAACTGTCTTTCACAGTGGCTGTATAATTTTGCACTTCCATCAACAATAAGTGAGAGTTCCTGTAGCTCCATATTATCATCAGCATATGGTGTTATCAATATTCTGGATTTGGGCCATGCTAGTAAGTAGGTACTGGTATCTCATTGTTTTAAGTAGCATTTTCCTATTGACTTCTGATGTGGAGCAACTTTTCATGTGCTTGTTTACCATTTGTATATATTCTTTTTTGATGTGTCTGTTAAGGTCTTTGACCCATTTTTAATTCTATTCATTTCTTATTTTTGAGTCTTAAGCGTTCTTTGTATATTTTGGTTAATAATCCTTTATCAGATATGTCTTTTGCAAATATTTTCTCCCAGTCTATGGCTTGTCTTTTTATTCTCATAACAGTATCTTTCACAGAGTAGAAATCTTTAATTTCAATGAAGTTTCTCATGAATTATTTCTTTTATGGGTAGTGCCTTTTGTGTTGTATCTAGAAATTCATTGTCATACACATGAACATCTAGGTTCTCTCCTATGATATCATCTCAAAGTTTTATAGATTTGCCTTTTACAAAGTCTATGATCCATTTTGAGTTAATTTTTGTGAAGTGTGTAGTATGTGTCTAGATTTATTTTTTCGCATGTGGACATTCAGTTGTTCTAGTACTATTTGTTGAAAAGGCTATCTTTGCTGCATTGTGTATTGCCTTTGCTTCTTTGTCAAAGATCAATAGACTATATACTATATACATTTTTAACTGTTTCCGGGCTATTTTATTTCAGGTTTGTTTGCCTATTATTTCATAAATCCCACACTGTCTTTCATACTGAAGCTTGACATGTCTTGAAGTCAGAAAGAGTCAATCTTCCAACATTTTTCTTTTCGTTCAATGTTGTTTTGGCAATTCTGTATCTTCTGACACTCCATATAAACTTTAGAATCAGTTTGTTGATATCTAAAAATAATTTGCTGGCATTTTGATTAGGATTGCATTGAATCTATATGTCAGTTTGGGAAGAACCAATATAATAGTAATGTTGATTTTTCCTATTTATGAACATGGACTATATCTCCATTTATTTAGTTAATTTTTTATTTCTTTTGACATTTGTACTTTTCTCCATATAGATATTTTGCATATTTTGTTAGATTTATACTTAAATATTCATTTTAGGGGTGCTAATGCAAATAGTATTGTGTTTTTAATTTCAAATTCCACTTGTTCATTCTGTATGTGGGAAAGATTTTAACTTCGGTGTATTAACTTTGTAGCCAGCAAACATGCTATAGTTGCTTATTAGAAGAGTTTGTCAATTGTTTTGTGTTTTCAATACAGAAAATTATGCAATATGTGAAAAAAACAGTTTTATTTCTTCCTCACAAATCAACATCCCCTTTATTTCCTTTCTTTGTCTCACGATATTTAGTAGAACGTTTCAGTTTAATGTTGAAAAGGAGTGTTTAGAGGGAACATCCTTGCCTTGCTCCTGATTGTGTTGGGAATGTTTTCTGTTTCTTACAATTAAGTATAATGTTAACTGTAGGTTTTCAGTATAACTTAAAAAAAATCAACTTGAGGATGTTTTATTCTATTCCTAGTTTCCTGAGAGTTTTTCTTTTTATCATAAATGGGTGTTAAACATTGGCAAATGTTTTTTCTCCATCTGTTGATATGACCATATAATTTATCTTCTTCAGTTGTTGATGTGATTGATTACATTAATTGGCTTTCTAATGTTAAACTAGCCTTGCATACCTCAGATATATCCAACTTGGAACTGGTGAATAATTCTTTTCATATATTGTTGGATTCCATTTGCTATTTTCTGAGAATTTTTGCATAAATATCTATTAGAAATATTGTTTGTAGTTTTATTTCCTTGTAATGTCTTTGTCTGGTTTTGATAGTGTGATGCTTGTCTCATAGTATGAGTAAGGAAGTATTTTTCATATTTCTATCTTCTGAAAGATATTTTAGAGAATTTGTATGATTTATTTCTTAAATGTCCAGTAGAATTCACTGGTGCTTTCGCTTTTGGAATGTTATTAATCATTGATTACATATAATGAATAGATATAGGTATATCCAGGTTTTCTGTTTCTTTTTGTGTAAATTTTGGCAGATTGTGTCTTTCAAGGAATTGATCCATATTATCTAGCTTATCAAATCTGTGGGCATAGAGCTATACGTAATACTCTTATTATCCTCTTAATCTTCATAACATCTGTGGTGATATCCTCTCTTTCATTTCTTCTGCTCACTTTAGATTTTATTTGCTCTTGTTTTTCAAGTTTTTTAAGATTGAAGCTTGGATAACTGCTTATAGATATTTCTTCTTTTCTAGCATTTGAATTTATTACTATGTTTTATTCCAAGCACTGGTTTCACTCCATTTCCAATTTTGAAAAGTTGTTTTTATAAAATTTTAATTAATTTTAAATATTTTTAAGTTTCTCTTCAGATTTAATTTTTTACTCATGAATTATTTTGAAATGTCTTCTTTAACCTCTATGTACTTTAAGATTTTCTAGTTATCTATTTGTCATTAATTTCTAGTTTAATTCCACTGTGGTCTGAATGCAGACAGTGTACAATGTCTGTCCTTTTAAATTTATTAGGATGTGTTTTATGGCCCAGAATGTAATCTATCTTGGTGTGTATTGTATGGAAGCATATGTATTCTGCTGCTGTTGAATGGGGTAATCTATATATGTCAATTATATTGAGTTGATTGATTGTGTTATTGAGTTCAACAATGTCGTTACAGATTTTCTACCTGATGAGTCTGTCTGTTTATGATAAAGGTATTGAAGTCTCCAAATATAATAGTAGATTAACCTATCTACCCTTATAGTTCTATCAGATTTTGTCTCACATATGCTCTGTTGTTAGGTACATATACATTAAGGATTGTTATGTCTTCTTGGAGAATTGACCACTTTATTGCTATGCAATGTCTTTCTTTGTCCCCAGTAAATTTCCTCATTTTAAAGTCTACTCTGAAATTGATAGCGCTATATCTGCTTTCCTTTGATTAGTGTTAGCATAGTATAACTTCTCCATCCATGTTTTTTAATTGACAAAATTGTATGTAATTATCATGTACATGTTCTTTTAAAATGTGTGTACATTTTAAAAAGGATAAATTCAGCTAATTAACATGTACATTACCTCACACAGTTATTTCTTTATGGTGAAAATCTACTTTAAGCAATCTACTTAAAATCTACTCAGCAACTTTCAAAGATACAATACATTGTTATTAACTATAGAGGACTCTTGTACACTAGATCTCTTGAAATTATTTCTCCAATTTAACTGAAATACTGTATCCTTTTGACAATTGTCTCCCCAACCCACTTTTCCATCCATTTACTTTTAATCTAGATGTGTCCATATATGTAAAGATGGTTATTTTTTGACAAAATATAGTTGGGTCTTTTTTTTTTTTTGATCCACTCAAACAATCTCTGCCAAAGTATTATACTTAGAATATTGACATCCAAGGTGATTTATTATATACCTGAGTTGATATCCACCATATTTTTTTTACTATTTTCTATTTATTGCCCTTGATTTTTGTTCCTAATTTTGTTTTCTACTCTTCTTCTGCCTGTTGCGATTTTAATTGAGCATTTTATATTTTTCCATTTTCTCTTTTTTCTCAGAATATCAACTATGGTTCTTTTTTTTTCCTATTTTTTGGTAGTTGCCCTAGAGTTTGCAATATGTATTTACAACTAATTCAAGCACACTTTTTAAATAACACTATACTGTTTCACAGGTACTATAGGTACCTTATAATAAGAAAATAATTTTAACTTATCCTCTTATCCCTTGTATTATTGCTGTCATTCATTTCACTCATATATAATAATGAATATAAAATATATACAGAACCATACATAATTGAATACATTGTTGCTATAATTATTTTGAACAAACTGTTATCTGTTAGATCAATTAAGAATAAGAAAAATAAAAGCATTTACTTTACTTTCATTGGTTTTGTCTTTGACGCTTCTTGTTTATTTATGTAGATGTTGCTTTCTGACCTATATTATTTCTCTTCTTTTTAAACATCTTTTGCATTTTTTACTAGTAACAAATTCCATAAATTTTTGTTTATCTGAAAAAGCCCTTATTTCTCCTCCACTTTTCGAGGGTAATTTCACAGGGTACAGAACTCTACCTTGGTGTATTTTCTTTTTTTTCTCAACACTTTAAATATTTTATTCTATTCTGTTCTTGCTAATTTGGCTTCTGAGAAGAGGGAAGATAGATTTCTTGTCTTTGTTCCTGTTTTGGTAATGTGCTTTCTCAGACCCAAACCACCGTTTTTCAAAATTTTTTCTTCATTTAAAATTCTCTGTAGTTTGCAAATAATATACCAAGGTGCAGTTTTAAATTTCGTTTTGTGCTGTTTTGTTTGGCATTTATCCTGTGTGGTGTTCTCTGAGCTTCCAGAATCTGTGGTTTGGCATCTGACATTAACTTGAGGGAAATTCTCAGTTATTATTTCTTCAAATATTTATTTTACTCCTTGATCTTTCTTCTCCCTCTTAGTATTTCCATTATACATATGTTACAACTTTTGTAGTTGTCCCACTCTGCAGAATATTTTGTTCTGTTTATTTCAGCCTTTTCTCTTTTTGTTTCAGCTTTGGAAGTTTCTATTGATAAATATTCAAGCTGAGAGATTTTCTTCCTCATCTGGGGCCAATCTCCTAATGAGATTTTCAGATACCTTTCTGTTACAATGATTTTGATCTCTAGCATTTCTTCTAGGTTCTTTCCTAGGATTTTCATTTCTGTGCTTACATTTTCTTATGTTCTTGCATGCTGTCTGCTTTATCCGTTAGAGCCGTTATCTCATTAATCATAGTTGCTTTAAATTTCTTGTTTGATAATTCCAATATCCCACCCATGCCTGTTTCTAATGTGTTACTGTGTCTTCGAACTGTTTAGTTTTTTGTTTGTTGTGTTTGGTTTTTGCCTTTCTTTTACTGTGTTTTAGTATGCCTTGTAATATATCCTTGATATTCAGACATAATGTATTGGAAAAAAGAACTGCTGTATTAGTCTGCTATCACACTGCTATGAAGAAATACTTGAGACTGGGTAATTTATAAAGAGCAGAGATTTAATCGGCTCACAGTTTCACATGGCTAGGGTGGCCTCAGGAAACTTCCAATCATGGCAGAAGTTACCTCTTCACAGGGCCGCAGGAGAGAGAATGAGTGCAAGCAGGAGAAATGCCAGACGCTAATAAAACCATGCAGGGACATGGATGAAGCTAGAAACCATCATTCTCAGCAAACTAACACAGGAACAGAATGCCAAACTCCACATGTACTCTCTCATAAATGAGAGTGGAACAATGGGAACACACATGGACACAGGGAGGGGAACATCACACACTGGAGCCTGTCGGGGTGAGGGGCAGGGGGAGGCAGAACATTAGGGCAAATACCTAATGCATGTGGGACTTAAAGCCTAGATGAAGGGTTGATGGGTGCAGCAAACCACCGTGGCACATGTATACCTATGTAACAAACCCGCACATTCTGCACATGTATCCCAGAACTTAAAGAAAACAAAGAAAAAAAAAGTCAGATGTCATGAGACTCACTCATTATCACAAGAACAGCATAAGGCAAACCAACTCGATGATTCAATTACCTCCACCTGGTCTCTTGACACAAAGGGATTACGGGGATTACAATTCAAGGTAAATTTGGGTGAGGACACAGAGACAAAACATATCAAGGTCTTCTGTATTGTAGTGGTAATAACTGACAGAGAGGAAGATTTTGATAGTCCTATGATTATGTCTCAGTATTTTAGTGAACCTAGGCCTCTGAAATATGAACTTCACTAGTGTTTCTCAGTTTTTTCTCTGCCATTAAGTGGGGCAGGATGTCTAGAGCAGGCTGGAGCTATTTCCCTACCCCTAGATCAGTTAGGCACTGAAAACTCTAAAAAAAAACAAAAAACCTGTGGTTAACTAGTTTCTCTTGAGAGCAAAGCTTGTTAAGAAGAATAGAGTGCTCTAGTGTATTTCAAAATGGTTTCTTTTCTCCTACCCCCACTGAAAGTAAGAGAAGATTTTTTCTTGTTTTATTGTTTTTTTCTTTCTTTTTTTCTCTGTTATTTGCTGTGAGAATCTGTAGATCTCCTGGTGGTAAAACACAAAATTGTAAGGTTCCCCTATGACTAGATTCTCCTGGAGTTATTAATTATCAATTTTGTCTACACCCAGAATCCTGTAATTCAATTAGAGTCCAGGTTTTTCTACCCGAGTGTGGTTCCACAGAAGTCTGCTCCACAGAGCTGTTCTCTGTAACTGCCTGCCACTTCTCAGTTTGGGGGAAGTCATTTGTCCCAGGACTTCACTTCTTTCAAAAGCCTAAAAAGAGTTGTCAATTTATAATTTATTAAGCTTTATACTTATTCTTAGGAAAAAGTGGCAATATCTAAGCTCCTTAAATGCGGAATTTGCTTATGCACTTTTTAAGCCTATCCCAGTTTTATTTTCACATATTATTGATTTAGTAATATAAAAAGTAAAAATAAAGTTACCGCTATCATTTTATCTACGTTAATATTCATGTTTTATTGTAAGAATAAATTGTATGTTATTCGCTCTGTATTAATTAGGAAGACATAACAAAGTACGTTTAATGTAAGAGGAAAAATGATCATACAAGCAAATAATGTATGAAGACATAATCTAATAAATGCTGACCAGCAATGACAGTGGAGAGTAAATTAAACAGTTTAGCCTAGTTCCATGAATAGTGACAAGAATGCTATTATAAAATTGCAAATTAGTCCTGAATGGATGGTGCCTTGGTACATTATGTGTTTTTACTTATGTATTTTGTATTGTTGTTGTTGTTGTTTTTCATTTTATAAAAGATATGATAGAAATTGAAAGGTCTGGTATAGGCTCTTTTTTTTTTTTCTTTTGAGATGGAATCTCTTTCTGTCACTCAGGCTGGAGTGCATTGGGTCAATCTCTCCTCATGGCAGTGTCTGATAAATTCACAGCCCAGTACTTGAAGAAATAATCACCAAAAAAAAAAAAAAAAAAGGGACAACCACTTGTTAGGATTTTTAGAAAACATATATTTCATATGCATTGAGAGGTTTCTCAGCATTTTCAAAAATATATTGGCGAGATCACTGAGATCATGCTAAAAAGAGCCAAATAATTTTGGCTATTGTAAAAATGTGTTGTAAAAATGTATGTAAGCCATTAATTGGCTATTGTAAAAATGTACATAAGCCAGTAAGAATAGCTGAAACTGAAGATAAAACAGAGAAGAAATCAGCAAAGATAACTGTACATTCTTTTGAAACTCAAATCCCAGTTTATAAGTGAAAGTAAATATGTGGAAATAAAGTTTATAGTGAATAATCTACCGCTTGTCTAGTGTTAGGAATAAATTTTACTCCTCAGATTATTCTACAGATTAATACAAATAAAATTTGATTTATTGACAATTTCTTTAATTAAAAATTTTTAATGCTATTTATACTTCAGTAGCCTCCCTCCCTATCAAAAAAAAATCACCAGAATTCTAAGAAAGTAAAATAACAGGATTCTATTTTTTATGAAAAGAGACATGCATAGCAACATATATGTCAAAATGCATAAGCATAGGTAGTAAATAATGATGTTTAATGTAGATATATTATTGGAATGATTCACTTTTTCAACATTCACATAGAATCAGACAGCAGGTGTTCAATGGTAGTTTCAAATAGAAGAGCTCCTTAATCTCTACATTTTGGTATATATATGTTCAGTTTTTCTGTACAGGCATATATCACTTTAATGGAATTTGCAACTGTCACATAACGTGTCATTTTTTATTGCTACCTAGTATTCTAGTCATAACTATATATTAATTTAACCAAAACACGAGTATTAGAAATTTAAGATATCTAACCGTTTCCACTATTATTTACAATGCTGAGACAAACAATTTTAGCTAAAAATTAATAAATATATATGCTCATTATCTAAGAAAAAATTCTAAAATTCGATCTGCTAGGCCCAATGGTTTGCATACTTTTGTCTCTTCAAAAACATTCCCCTTTAAGGCCGGGCGCGGTGGCTCACGCCTGTAATCCCAGCACTTTGGGAGGCCGAGGCGGGTGGATCACGAGGTCAGGAGATGGAGACCATCCTGGCTAACACGGTGAAACCCCGTCTCTACTAAAAATAAAAAAAAATATTAGCCGGGCGTTGTGGTGGGCGCCTGTAGTCCCAGCTACTCGGGAGGCTGAGGCAGGAGAATGGCGTGCACCCAGGAGGCGGAGCTTGCAGTGAGCCGACATCACGCCACTGCACTCTAGCCTGGACAACAGAGCAAGGCTTTGTCTCAAAAAAAAAAATCCCCTTTATTTAATTATTTATTAAGTTATTATTGACTTACTATAAACCACACATATTTAAAGTGCACCATTTGCTACATTTTGGCATATGTACCCACTATAAAATAATTACTAAATAGAATAATAAACATATTCATTATACACAGATATTTCCTTACACTCCTTTGTAATCTGTCCTTTCAGGCATCTCACTCACCAGGCAACTACCTATTTGTTTCCTGTTAATGTTTATTACTAAGAAATAGAGCTGTTGTAGGCCCCAGCTACAATTTGTCTACCTTTCCTTATTGTTCTTTCAGTTTTGCTTTATGTATTTTGAAGCTCCAATGTTTGGTGTATACATATTTAAGACTGCTACCTCTTTGTGATTAACTGACCATTTTGTTATGATATATCTCTCTTTATCCATGCTAACTTTCTTTGCTCTGAAGTCTAGATTTTCTGAAGTTACTACAGCCTCTCAGCTTTCTCTTGGCTGTTGTTTGCATAGTATATTAGTTTGCATCCTTTTACTTTTAACTTAACCATATAATTATATTTGTAAACTTTACTGTATAATTATATTTTAAGTAAATTTTTCTGGAAGCATATAGTTGGATATAATTTAATTCACCCTGCCAATCTATGTCTTTTATTTAGATGATTTAAATTCAATTTTGTTATATTAGTGTGTCATATATATAGTATCTTTTTATATCTGTCTATATATCATATATATAAGATATTTTTAGTATCTTATATAGAATTTTCAGTATATATTGTGGCAATTTTATTTCATTTTAGTAGATGCTCTGGAGATCACAATTTCTATATGTAACATCATAGTCTACAAAAAAATGATATTTTACTACTTCAAATGGAATCTAAAAACATTACCTACACTTAGGTCCCTTTACCTTCCTTTTTTTATACTATCATTGTCTTAAATATGTTATTTATGTATACTGAAAATCATATGAAATAATATTATAATTTTCACGTTGACCGTCAGACATAATATTAAAGAATGAAAAACAGAGCCTGGGTACAGTGACTCACACCTGTAATCCCAGGTGTTTGGGAGGCCAAGGCGGGAGGATGTTTGAGACCAGCCTGGCCAACATGGTGAAACCCTGTCTCTACTAAAAATACGAAAATTAGCTGGATGTGGGTCGTGAGCCTGTAACCCCAGCTACTCAGGAGGCTGAGGCAGGAGAATTGCTTGAATCAGGGAGGCAGAGGTTGCAGTGAGCTAAGATGGCACCATTGCACTCCAGCCTGGACGACAAGAGCAAGACTTCGTCTCAAAAATAAATAAATAAATAAATAAAATAAAAAATAAATATGTAAAATAAAATTAGAAAGACGGTCTAATGGTCTATTATTTTTTCCTATATATTTACCCTTTCACTCCAGCCTGGATGATAAAGCGAGACTCTGTCTCAAAAAAATAAAATAAAATAAATAAAATGAAAATACAATAAAATAAATAAAATAAAATAAAAATAAAAAAACCATTTTTTTGACTGTCAACAAATTATTTTCATTAATCTAAGAATGACTTATTTCAGCTTTATTTCTTAAGAATATTTTCAGTAGATATACATTTTTTGTATTACAAGACTTTTTTCTTTCAGTATTCTAAAAACATTTTCCCACTCCTGTCCAGCCTGTATGAATTAGTGATAAATCCACTATAATCCAAACTGTTATTCATCCAGATGCAATGCACTGTTTCTGACAGCTTTAGAGACTTCTTTTGCCTTTGTCTTAGCTTTCAGATATTTAATTTTGATGTTTTGAAATTGAAATGCTTTGGGTTTATTCTGTTTCTGGTTAGATCTACTTCTTTGATCTGCAAGTTTCATTAAATTGAAAAAAGATTCAGCAATTACTTTTTAAATTAAATTTTCAGTGCCCTATGAGCTTACTCTTTTCTTTCAATGACTTCAATGATGTGAATATGAGATGTTTACTTATTGTCCCACAGGCCCCACAGTTTATTTTTTTAAAATTCTATTTATTCTCCATTATTCGATCTAGATAATTTCAATTGTCCTATCTTCAATGTCAATGAGTCTTTCCTAAATCACCTTCATTCTTCTATTGAACCCATACAGAGAATATTTTCTTTGTCATTGAATTTTTTAATGCTAAAATTTGTTTTTATATTGTCTCCTATTTATTTGTTGAGATGATTTTTATTTGTTTCATAAGTAATCATAATTGCTTGCTAGAGCATTTTCATAATACCATCTTTAATATCCTTGTCAAATAACGCCACCGTATATGTTATCGCAGTGTTGGTATCTATTGTTTTGCTTTTTTCTCATTGTCGAGACTTCCTGATGCTTGGTAAGACAAGTTTTTTTTATTGTATACCGGACATTTGGGGTATATTTTATGAATCTCTTGTTCCTGCTAAACTCTTCTGTTTTAATAAGCAATTAACCCGTTTTAATTTTGCATGCATGGCCTGGCCTAATTTTGTGAACCATGCTTCAGACTTCGGTTTAGTTTCAAAAACTTCTGCAATGTTATTTTTATCTGTTCCATTTTTGAGCTACTCAGAGACCTATTTGAGAACTGAGCAGTTTTTCATGCCACAGTTCAATTCTTAAAGCTTTGAAATAATAAATCTTCTCTGTTTTTTGCATGAATTTGCCAATTGTCCATCTAGGACTTCATAAACTGATTAAACCAATTCTGTTCTTTAGCTTCTTCCTCTTTGTATTCCTCCCATGTACCCACTGTCCAGGTGACAGAAGGTGGCACTATCTCATTGCCACAGGGGACATAAGCTTCTTAGTGAAAAGGATGAAAGGAAGTTAGATCTTTACCTACAATAAAATGAGAGAGAGCGAGAGAGAGAGAGAGAGGAAGAGAGAGAGAAAGAGAATTAGCCTCTTGAATATTAAAAAAAAAAACCCTGGTAATTATGATAGCCTCAGGATATATGGAAAACCTAAAATGATAATTATGTTATTTATAATAGTTTGTACCTTTTGAATGAATCATCTATTCAAAACTTAATTTTTTTTTTAATTTGGCTTTTTACAGATTCTTTTTCTAGAGTAATTTTTATAGCCTTTAGTGTGCTGATAAGTATTAAAACCTCTAATGTTTTTCCAATTTAATTGACATGGAACATTTGTATTTGCCATAACTTACAGAATTAATATATCTATAATTTACAGAATTAGTTTAAATTATAAGCATTTTTAAAAATGGTTAACATAAAGTAGGGCCTAGTCTAAATTATTTTGGTTGAGCATTTTTTAAAAATGTTATCTGTTCTGGAATCTCTTGAAATGATCGTAGGGATTTTGTTCTTTAATTCTGTTGATGTGGTATATTACATTTATTAATTTTTGTATGTGCAGCTGTCTTGCATTTCTGTGATAAATCTTCTTTGATTATGATGAATGACCTTTTCAATGCATTACTGAATTTTGTTTGTTAGTATTTTGTTAAGGATTTTTGCATCTATGTTCACCAGAAATATTTGCCTGTAGCTTCGTTTTCTTTGGTTGTGTTTTTGTCTGGTTTTGGTATCAGGGCAATAGTGGCCTTGTAGAATGAATTTGGAAGTATTTTATTCTTCTTCATTTCAATATCCCTTGATGATAAAAAAAACCAGCTTTAAAAAACCTTAGTATAGAAGAAACATAACACAATAGAAGCCATATGAATATACTGAATGTGGAAAAACTGTGTTTCTTTTAAGATTTAGAACATGACAAGGATGTCCAATTTCACTAATGTTATTCAGCATAGTACTGGAAATCCTACAAGAGAAATTAGACAAGAGAAAGAAATAAAGGGCATCCAAACTGTAAAGAAGTCAAATTGTGCTTGTTTGCAGATTACATGATCTTATATTTAGAAAAACCTAAAGCCTCCACCAAAAAAAACTCTTAAAACTGGTGAACAAATTCAGTAAATTTATAGTATACAAAATCAACATACAAAAATCAATAGCATTTCTATATGCCAACAGTGAACAATTTGAAAAAGAAACCAAGAAAAGGATTCCATTTACAACAGCTACAAATAAAATAAAATACCTAGAAATAATCTTAACCAAACAAGTAAAAGATATCTACAATGGAAACCATAAAACATTAACAAAATAAATTGAAGCGGACACAAGAAAATGAAAGCATACTTCATTTTCATGATTTGTAACAATCAGTGTTGTTAAAATGTCTATACTATCCAAAGCAATCTGGAGATTCAATACAGTCCTCATCAAAATACCCATGCCAGTCTTCATGGAAACAGAAAATATAACCCTAAAATTTGCATTGAACCACAAAAGACAGAATAGCCAAAGCCACCCTGAGCAAAAAAGAACAAAACTAGGGAAATCACATTACCTGACTTAAAATTATACTATTATGAAGCTGTAGTAGCCAAAACAGCATAGTACTGGCATAAAAACAGACACATAGACCAAGGAAACAGAATAGAGTGCCTATAATCAAATTTATGTATTTGTCAACTCATTTTCAACAAAGGTGCAAAGAATATACATTGGATGAAAGAAAACTCTCCTCAGTAAATGGTACTGTGACAACTGGATATACATATGAAGAAGAATAAAACCAGACCCACATCTTAAATATAAGACCTAAAACAGTTGAATTACTTGAAGAAAACACTGGGGACATACTCCATAACATAACTACCACAAGATATCATCTCACTCAGTTAAAATGACTTTATATTTTGTATATATTTTGTGTGTATACACACACACACACAAGCACACACATACGCAGATAGATGATAGATATATAGATAGGTGACATGATGATCGGGGACCATCTTCTTTTAGAAACAGAAGATTAGATGTCAATTGTGAGGTATCTTTAATTTTTTATTTTTAATTATTATGGGTACATAACAGTTGTATATATTTATAGGGTACAAGTGATGTTAGGATATAAGCATACAATGTGTAATGACCAAGGTAGGGTAATTGGGGTACCCATCACCTCAAGAATTTATCATATCCTTGGGTTAGGAACATTTCAATTCCCCTATTTTAGTTATCTTAAAATATACAATAGATTATTTTTAACTATAATCACTCTATTGTGTTAATGAACGCTAGATCTTATTTATTCTAACTTATTTTGTACCCATTAACCATACATTCTACCGTTCTCAGCCTTTGGTAACCACCATTCTACTGCCTATCTCCATAAATTATTTTTTTAGCTCCCATGCATGAGTGAGAACATGTGAACTTAATCTTCCTGTGCCTAGTTTATTTCACTTAACATAATGACCTCTAGTTCCATCCATGTTGATGCAAATGACAGGATTACATTTCTTATGGCTGAATAAAATTTCCTTGTGTATATCTACTGCATTTTGTTATCCACTTATCTTGTGATGCATACTTAGGTTGCTTCCAAATGTTGGCTATTTTGAATAGTGCTGTAATAAACGTGAGAGTACAGATATCTGTTCAACATACTATTTTTTTTTCTTTTGGGCACTGGAGGATCATAGGGTAGCTCTATTTTTAGTTTTTTGAGGAACCTCCATAATGTTCTTCATAGCGGCTGAACTAATTTACTTCCCCAACAACAGTGTAGGAGGGTTCTCCTTTTTCCACATCCTTGCCAGCATTTATTATTGCTTGTCTTTTGGGTAAAAGCCATTTTTAACTGAGTGAGATGATCTCTTGTGGTAGTTTTGATTTGCATTTCTCTGAGTACTATTGATGTTAAGTGTTTCATATACATGTAGGTCATCTGTATGTCTTCCTTTAAGAAATGTCTATTCTGATATTTTGCCCATTTTAAAATTTGATGATTTGTTTTATTCCTGATCTGTTTGACCTCTTTAATATGTTTTATATATTCTGGTACTAATCCTTTGTGAGATGGGTAATTTGCAAATATTTTCTCTCATTCCGTGGGCTGGGCTGTCTCTTCATTTTGCTGATTGTTGGCTTTGTCGTACAGAAACTTTTAGGCTTGATGTGATCCCATTTGTCCATTTTTGCTTTAGTTGCCTATGCTTTTGAGATATTACTCAAGATATTGTTACCCAGAACAGTGTTATGGAGTGTGTCCCCAATGTTTTCTTCAAGTAATTCCATAGTTTCAGGTCTTATATTTAAGATGGGGGTCTAGTTTTATTTTTCTTCACATGTATATCCAGTTATCACAGTACCATTTACTGAGGAGAGTCTTCTTTCACCCAATGTATATTCTTTGCACCTTTATCAAAAATGAGTTGACACATACAGAAATTTGGTTCTAGGCTGTCTATTCTGTTTCTTTGGTCTATGTGTCTGTTTTTATGCCAGTACAATGCTGTTTTGGTTACTACAGCTTCATAATAGTATAATTTGAAGTCAGGTAATGTGATTCCTCTAGTTTTGTTTTTTTGCTCAGGGTGGCTTTGGCTATTCTGAGTCTTTTATGCACACACACACACACATATATATATTTACATAATCTCTTCGTTATAGTTTGCAATGATTAGTTGTACAGCATCATTAACATCTCATTAAATTCTTATTTCACATCATATGAAATTTCCAGTTTAGTAATATGGATAATACTGTCTTTCCATGTATATAATTTTGCTCAAGCTCAGTAGTTTTTTTTCTATAGCTGTTTTACTTTTTTTTCCCTAAAGGGCAGGGATAGTTTTTTGAAATCCATAATGCCCAACAAAACTATTTACAAATTTGATTAATTATTTATATGTATTAATAATTTCTTACCATCATATCTTCATCATTATTAGGATAGAACATCTGGCAATGCATTGATAACTATTATTATGATTAAGAGTATTAGCAAATTAAACCATTAAAATGGCCTCAGTATAATTATAAAAATCTACATACTTCCTACTGTAAGGATGATCATTTTAAAAATATAAATGATTCTTTAAACCAATAAGCAAGGCAAAAAGATTTTTGTCCTTGAATACTCCTCTTTCTGCTCCACGTCTTTATCCAAATAAGCTCTTTAAGGATATTTAATATTTATTCTTTTTGTTATATGATTGGATTGTATGCTAATGTATAGTTTCAACATTACCATTCTGTCATAATATTTTCATCCCTTTTTACCATATTTCCTTTCCTTTAAAATAGCATGGTGTTAGCTACAAATAATAGAAATGCAGGATTGGTTCAAAAGTTCGACAAAAAACTTTTTTGTCTCTCCTATGAAATCAACAGCATTGGCCACATCCTATCACTGATTCTTCATGTGATTATTGAATGACAGACAAAAGCAAGAGAAAAATAAAGATTCATCGTTCATTTCATATGCAAAAGAGAAAAAAAGTTAATTTGCTTCTTGTTGCTTTCTCGTTAAAGAGTAAATGTTTTCTTATCAAGAGAAACTGTCTTGTTTTCAGGTAAGCTCTAAATCAGTTATTGTGGAAAAAAATGGAAATATGATTGCCTCAGGCGTTTGTCCCTACCCCAGATACCTAGAGCTGTGGTCAATTTTTCACTTTGGGTTGCTGCAGAAAAAGAAGGGATGCCTGGAATTCCTGTTGAGGATATAATTGCAATGGCATTTTCACCTTCTTTCCTTTTATTCACAACACACATTATCTTGGTTACCTACCATGTTCGAGATCTTCTCAGGACACCCAAATTAGTAGAGTTAGTTTTTTTTAATTTAATAACAGTATTTTGACAGGTGACTTAAGCCCTCTTTGCTATTATTTGTGTTGTTGAACTGTAGACAATAATTAAAATTCAAAAGAAAACACAAGTAATTACGTATGATATACATGTTTACATTACTGATACTTTTTCACTTACTTTATGCTTACAATATATCTGTCATTTATAATTTTCTTAAATGTTTAGCTAAATAAATCTGGAAAAATATTCTTTCATGTTTATGTAAGTTCATTAGAAATGCCTATTTTTAGTTTTAAGAAAAAAAATACTTGTAAATCATTGTTTTTGCAAGAAGTAGTGTATCCAATAGCTTTATGTAAGGGAAAACATGCTGTTTTCAGATTAATACTAGAAAGAAATTGCTGGCTGAGGAGAAGGAGTTAGCAAAATGTTCTCATTAGAGAGAAAATAAATTTAATTATTCAGGTCTCATAGTGGAACAAATATTGGAGAGAAGAAAGTTTCTTATTTGAACTGTTCTGCCAAACTCTCCAAGGTTATGTTAACCTAGAACTGTCAAAAAGTGGTGCTATTATAGCTAAAAAGTCTTAAATAAGTTATTTTTCAGAAACAGGCATTTTATAGAAAGTATTCAGTACATAGCTCTTCTATTTGTTCTCTGAGGGAAGATAACAGAAAATAAAAAATAAAATATACTGAAATGATAAAAATAAAGTTGTGTTAATGAGAAAATTCAGTATTATTTCCTCACTGAATTAATGAATCTGGATGTATAATATAGAATATCAGTGAGTAAAAATTTGATTGCAAATGCATATGAAAAATGCCAGAAAATGAAAAGATATTTTACTTAAGATATTGGGCCAAAAGAGATGATAGCAAAACTAATAAATGTATTAAATGTTAGATTTTACACAAAAAATCTGGCTATATTTTTCAAAAAATAAGTGAAATTTTATACACAAAGTAATATGAACATAAATGATATTAGGCATATAAAGTGACAGTTAATTTTAAAATATTAATAAATCATTATTTGGCATATTTGTTATGACTCTGGGAAACTCATATATTTTAAAAACAAAATGTATTTTTATACTACCTTTTTTTAGCTTCTTACAGCTTTTTAATAAAAATGATAGTTTATTAACATGTGAATATCATTTTATATAATTTCCTTGAACTATGCTCTAAACATGAACTAAATCTAAAATTTTTGTTGTCTACAAATACACATCACATATAAGCTTTATTTTTTCCCTTTTGTTATTTTTTTTGAGATGGAGTCTTACTCTGTTATGCAGGCTGGAGTGCAGTGGCATTCTCTTGGCTCACTGCAACCTCTGCCTCCTAGGTTCCTGCGATCCTTCTGCCTCAGCCTCCCGAATAGCTGGGATTACAGGCACCTGCCACCATGCCTGTCTAATTTTTTATTTTTAGTAGAGACGAGTTTTACCAGATGTTGGCCCAACTGGTCTTGAACTCCTGACCTCAGGTGATCCACCCACATCGGTGTCCCAAATTTCTGAGATTACAGGTGTGAACCACTGTGCCTGGCCCACATATAAGCTTTAAAAAGTTTATATTTACATCTTAATTATCCAGGATTTTTTTTTGTCATGCTTCTTTACATTTACAAAGGTTTTTCTGGCTTTTCTTTTTGACATTGTTTATTTAACAGGTGCTTTTTAATAAGGAAAAAATATAAAATATTAAGTTAAAATTAGACATCTTGAGGACAAAATATCAAGATAAAAGCTATAACATTACTAATTGTCCCTGGATATGAACTGTTTTGGTACCTTTATTTAATATGTGAGGTTTGCAAACTATGTTCTTTTTCTCTCTTACGTTGGCTTGATGACTTTATTTTCTTTAGAGAAATGAGATGTTGCAATACAGCATATCACAACATTGCTCTATCCATATCATATTAACCAGCATGCAATTGCATCTTACCTATTACACATTTTCAAACAAAATTATATTCCACTTCCAATGCCAAATGTTAGAATATCCTCCACTTGTCCTTTTCAAGTAGGAGGGAAAAAACAGAAAATATCAAAATATCTTCAAAAAACAATCTCCAGTAAGAAAGCCAGTGTCTCCTTAAAATAGTAAAACAAAATTTATATATTTCCTATTTAGGGTACAGTTAAAGATGCCTTACATAATATTCCAAGTGACCACCACTATTATATTTGAATGGCTGTATGGCTTTTTAACTATAAATCGAGTTAGAAACTAGTTATAATTCTTGATCAACATCATTCATCTAAAATTTTTCTGGCATTAGCTTATACATATGTTTGTTTTGAACCTTTGAGTTCTATGTACTCATAGAAATTGAAAGCAAGTGCTTTGTTTTATACACCAATGAAATTTATACAGCTGGCTATAGCAGAAAAGATATTTGAGTCTTCCTCTTTCCTTTTCCAGAGGGTATGTTGGAGAGTCTGATAGTGACTCTATGGCACACCTGGATTTAGGAAGTATGTATATACTTTTGCCTTGTTTCCAAGGAATATATTTGAAATTGTACCCTAACTAGTCTACAGATTTTTTTTGAGGTGACCCTGGATCCATTCAGATTAAATGATTTGCTGTCATTGATATTCTGCAATGTATGTATACACATGGGAAAAAAGAGTTGTCATATTTGAACAGTAAAAAAAACAGCAACTAAGCCCTGGACATATATGTGCATATATAGGGAGATTATATGTATATCTCCACATACACATTGTATGTTATATAAATATAAGTATATATATTTTATATATCTATGTGCATGTGTGTGTATATGTATTTAATTGGTTTGAATGAACATTTAGTTCACAGAGGGCTTATGTGGTCTAAATTTCTTTAAAGGTAGCATGTAGGTGGTAGTTTTTCAGTTTCTTATCTCAAAATAAAACCTGAAATTTTAAAAATTGTCATGGTCATGAAATCTTCTGCATATTTTTTGAAAAAGTTGGTTATTTTGTCCTTGGCAAGAAAGAAATATTTTTTAAAAAACAAATAATATGCAGAGGCCTACTCCTTAAGAGAAAATAGTCTTTCCATTTTCTGAATATGGAATGAAATGAGGGTATGGAAAGCAAACAATTCTGAACTATGTTTCAGTTGACTCTTTCCAGCTTCCAGTATGACATCTAATCACATTCAGGACCTAATCATGTAGGCAGACCAATCATCAACATAACATACTTGCTGACAATTAGTAGTAATTTGTCAAATTGAGTATAATTTGTTTTATTTTTTGTAGTTTTTAAAAATAGGAATAAACATCTTAAAGATGTTGAAGATAAATGATCTGTGATCATTTTGAATAAGAAGATGTGATTAATACCTTGTAATAAAAAAACTGCTGAATTAGAACTTTTTCACAATCTAACTGTACATTGAAAACATAATTAAGACAAGAAAAAGCCCAATATTTTATGGTTTAAAGTTAGGTTTTGTTAACATTAGAAAAGAACAAGTGAACTCTATCATGGTTGAAACATTCCCTTTACAGTTGGCTCCAATGTATAAATCCAGATTTTTGTTTAGATGAACTTAAAAATTTAACTTGAAATAGCCAATTTGTAAAAATTCACTAGAATAATACAAACGTTGTCCCACTCTGGGGCACATATTTATGAATTTTGTATCTTTCGGCTTGCTTCTTTACTAATACCACACATTTACAGAAACATTTTTTCTTTTTGGCATGTATTCCTACTTACCTTTATAGCATTATTTGTTTCTATGCTTATTGTCTTCCTCCTCCATCCCCCTACACAACACCTTAAGCAAAGTACTTTTTTGAGTTGCTTCACAGTTTAAATATACTACGTGGTTTCATAAGCATAGTTATTTATTAAATATGCATATCTCTTTAAAATATTGAAACATAACAGTATTTTTTACAGAAAATAGCAAATAATCTGGATTCTATACCATGAGAAAATATCTTTTTCACAAAAGGTGAATAAAGACTTTCTTTTAGAGATAAAAAGCTGAGAGGATCCATTACCAGAGATTAACAGCACAAACATGTTAAGGGAGGTTCTTCACGAAGAAGCAAATGATACTCTAGAGAAATCTGGGTCTATGGAAATGAATACTGAGATCTGAAAACGGCAAATGCACAATTAAGCATAAAATATTTTTTCTTCTTTTTTAACACTTCAAAAGTGGATTGAGTTGGCTGAAAAATAATTACAGTGCATTTTAGATTTCATAGCATGTAGAAGAAAAATGTATGACAAGATGACACAAAGGCTGAGAAAAGGGAAACAGAAGTATATTGCTGTAAGCTCCTTACAATGTATGTGGATGGGTGTAAAATCATTTGAATTTGTCCTCAGGCCACTTATAAGTTAATGAGAATTTGTAAATCCCAGAGCAATTACTAGATAAATAAAAATCAAGTAGGTAGGTAAGCAGATAGATAGATAGATACATAGAAACAGGTAGATACAGCTACCAAGCCAATAAAATGAGAGAAAATAGAATCATGAAAAGCATTCAACTAAACAAAGAAGATTTTTATAAAATGAGGAAATAAGAAATGAAAAAGGTGAGAAAAAAACAGGAAGATGTTTAGAAGATGATAAAATAGAAGTAAACCCCATCATATTGATATATTTTTAAAGAGAAGTAAAAAAAAGTGTCAGCTTGTTCAGCTTTTTATCAGCATTTCCACTAAGATAAAATTTGTTTCACTTTAATACATTTTTAGAAGGTGATAGTTCAATTTATATGTTTTAGGCATTATATGTTTATATTAAAAGTAAAAACTGGTATTTCAAATATAATTTATGTTAGCAAATCAATTTTATATTATCATTTTTCATTCCAGGTACAGCAATTCTTTGAGCATTATACAAAATGTACATGTTATACCTTGTCCTTACATAAGTCATGTAGGTGAAAAACTCACACGTAGATATAAATTAAAATGTAATAATGTATTTAAAAATATACATCAACACTGGCAAATAATTTTAATGAATATATTACATAAATATAAATAATCGATTTTAAAATATCATTCATTTATAGGACCGAAAGAAAAAGGATTGATTAATCATCACCTTTTATTGTGAATTGTAACTCTTGATTTGGAACATCAGAACATCCAATTAATGCTTAAAACTATTGTCCACTTTAGTTTAATTAGATCCCATTTGTCAATTTGGGCTTTTGTTGCCATTGCTTTTGGTGTTTTAGACATGAAGTCCTTGCCCATGCCTATGTACTGAATGGTATTGCCTAGGTTTTCTTCTAGGGTTTTTATGGTTTTAGGTCTAACATTTAAGTCTTTAATCCATCTTGAATTAATTTTTGTGTAAGGTGTAAGGAAGGGATCCAGTTTTAGCTTTCTACATATGGCTAGCCAGTTTTCCCAGCACCATTTATTAAATAGGGAATCCTTTCCCCATTTCTTGTGTTTGCCAGGTTTGTCAAAGATCAGATGGTTGTAGATATGCGGCATTATTTCTGAGGGCTCTGTTCTGTTCCATTGGTCTATATCTCTGTTTTGGTACCGGTACCATGCTGTTTTGGTTACTGTAGCCTTGTAGTATAGTTTGAAGTCAGCTTCTGCACAGCAAAAGAAGCTACCATCAGAGTGAACAGGCAACCTACAGAATGGGAGAAAATTTTTGCAATCTACGCATCTGACAAAGGGCTAATATCCAGAATCTACAATGAACTCAAACAAATTTACAAGAAAAAAACAAACAACCCCATCAAAAAGTGGGCAAAGGGTATGAACAGACACTTCACAAAAGAAGACATTTATGCAGCCAAAAGACACATGAAAAAATGCTCATCATCACTGGCCATCAGAGAAATGCAAATCAAAACCACAGTGAGATACCATCTTACACCAGTTAGAATGGCAATCATTAAAAAGTCAGGAAACAACAGGTGCTGGAGAGGATGTGGAGAAATAGGACCTCTTGCACACTGTTGGTGGGATTGTAAACTAGTTCAACCATTGTGGAAGACAGTGTGGTGATTCCTCAAGGATCTAGAACTAGAAATACCATTTGACCCAGCCATCCCATTATTGGGTATATACCCAAAGGATTATAAATCATGCTGCTATAAAGACACATGGACACGTATGTTTATTGCAGCACTATTCACAATAGCAAAGACTTGGAACCAACCCAGATGTCCAACAATGGTAGACTGGATTAAGAAAATATGGCATATATACACCATGGAATACTATGCAGCCATAAAAAATGATGAGTTCATGTCCTTTGTAGGGACATGGATGAAGCTGGAAACCGTCATTCTCAGCAAACTATTGCAAGGACAAAAAAACCAAACACCGCATGTTCTCACTCATAGGTGGGAATTGAACAATGAGAACACATGGACACAGGAAGGGGAACATCACACACCGGGGACTGTTGTGAGGTGGGGGGGGAGGGGGGAGGCATAGCATTAGGAGATATACCTAACGTTAAATGACGAGTTAATGGGTGCAGCACACCAACATGGCACATGTATACATATGTAACAAACCTGCACGTTGTGCACATGTACCCTAAAACTTAAAGTATAATAAAAAAAACTATTGTCCACTTTAAAAAAAGTAAAAATGGAATTTTACCACACAATATTTCTTACTACTTTGTGTCTACTAAAGATAGGAGTTTGTATCTTAATTACAGAAAGTGAAAAACGAGGTTATAAGATGCAGAATTGAGATTATTTTTCTAATGATGAGGTTTTTGGCAATAAATAATTACATCTAATTGGAAAATGATCAAATACATTTTAATAATTGCAGTCTGAGTAAAATTTTCAAGATATGAATATTTCACTTAATGAGTTTACATTTTAATTAAATTCCCATTTATGTGAATTTCATATAAGTACATCAAAAAAGACAATCAATACAAATATTTTGATCCAATTGTTTATGGGTTGTTAATTTCATGGTTGTAAAAAATTTTCTAAAGAAATATTGTTGACATGAACTTATGCCTTTAATTACTTGTTTTGCCAAATGTGTATAAAATTAAAACATATTCAACATTGTTATTAAATAAATTAAAAATTAATAAGGTACATTGTACTGATATTAATACAAAGATTAAATAAATGTAATGCTCACATTAGATAATCTGTGAGCTAGAAATATGAGAAACATTCTCAACTCATTCCTCTATCTTGCCACCCATGTTCCATCAGTAACCAAGTTATAACATTCTATTCAAAATGCCTCACAAATATATTCCCTTTTCATTCTCTGTCCAGTCACCACTCCTATCAGATATTTTTCTTATACTATTTGTATCACAGGAATAATATTCTATTTATCTACAGCCTTTTCCGTCTCCACACTGTACCTAGGTATCTTGCTCAAACAAATACAGATATGTCACTTATTTTCTTTTTAAATTAATCAATATTTCTTTAGGGCTTATTATGGCATGCAAGATCCATTAATATCGGTCCTCACTCTACCTTTCTATAACTCCTTGGCTTGTACGTCTCCAACTTCCACAGGTTTTACTTTCTGAGCACAATGCCCCACACTACTAAGTGTTTAGGAATATGCAGATAATATATGATAGTTTCTTGTATTATATTCCATGCATTGTGATATTTATGATACTTCAAAACAAATGCAATTGGAAGTATATGAATGTAATTTTAAGATAGAGTGAAAATAGTTTGTAAAAATGTATTATTTAATCTGTAATATATTATAAGAAACAGTAATTTCTCAATTAATTGAGAAATCTGAATGTATTCCATGGTCTTCTTTAATTTGTCAAAAGAATTTGTTGTATTAGGCATTTTTCTACCAGAATATTAATTTCATTTAGTCAATTACTAATTTAAATGTTTAATAATTTAAATGTTTGAATGTCTATATTCTCACAAATATTAATGCTGTAAGCAGAAATATTAACACTCACATAACATGTATGGGCATTTATTTATTTTTAAACAAACCATTCAATGCAACAACAGTTTTAATAGTCTCTGTACTAGATATAAATTTATCTTTGGAAAGCAAATAGCAATATCGATTAACAAGATATGTATGTCTGCTCTTTATTTTCACACATAGCATATACAACATGACATTTAATATCCAGTCACTTTATATAAAAGGTTTTGTTTTGTCTGGTCTTGCTTTGCTTTCCATTGATTAGTTGGGTATGGAAGCAGAACTTCTTTGTCATTTCACTGGAAACTGTCTGGATAGCAACAGAGTGTATCATAAATCAATTCAGCCAGAAGAACTGCTCACAACCAAAGTCAATATCTTAGTATAAAGCACCTGTAACAGGAACCCAAATGAAAGTAACCTCAGTCCTTACTTCATCAGAGAATTTCAAAGTTTTGAAAACGTGTACAATAGTATGATAAGGCCATGTGTTTATTATTTGTAATCAGTATTTAACAGGGTATATAAGTGCTAAACATATTTGTGAAAGTGGAAATAATAAATAAAATAATTGACTACATTCTTAAAATTTTAGTTACAGTTCAAGATATATAACATGACTAAACAGAAATTCTAATAAATCAAATCTAAATTATTCAGTACCCCATGTTCCACTAATAGGTACTATTGGCTGTTTAAATTCTGTAAACTATTCTGAATTCTGTTTAGTAGATATTGAACCTATTTTATGTATTCTACATATATGTATTACTTTCCCTACATATCCCTCATTTTATTTGTATCCCAGAATTATTTGATTTCTCAACAATATTTAAAATTCAAAACCTTACCGTTACACTTTGTTGCAATTACATACATTTTAAAAAACATTCTATAAATGCTGGAAAGAGAAATGTTGGTCTTGCAAGAGAAATAAAGTTGACAGAATGTAGTAATACATTCTTCACTAGAAAAGAAGTTTCCATTTTTAAAGCATTATTGTTACTATTTATTTCGTGATTACAATATTTTAGGTATATCGAAGAGAAAAAAGAAAGGTGATAATCTTAGGAACAAAATTTTGGTCATTAAAATATTTATAATGATTAAGTAACATATATATTGTTTAAGTGCAGAATAGTTCTGTCAAAGTTTTAAATCAAAATAGGGAAGAAGGTTAGTAGAGACATAAAATATTTTTATGTCCATATTTACTTGAATATGATTTTATTTCATTGAAAAATGTGCTTATTCTTTGATTGGTTGTCTTTAAATAGATATTCAGCAAACCATGTTTGTACCTAGAAATTTTTAATGTGGGGACAGGACTTGTTTATACATGACTAAGAGTATTCCTACTGCAATAGGGTAGCACTGATTGCCATGTGTTTGCAATAAATAGGTAATGGTGAAGTTGATTACATTCCAAAGAATGTTGGTAGTAATAGCAATATTTCTGTACCTCTTGCTTCTGTTCCTTCAATCTCTACTACTACTACATGTACTTATGATTACGGTTATTATTGATATAATTGTTATTGTTGTCACCATAAACAAGTTGCCTTGAATGTTTATTGAGCAAAAGGTTAAATTTCAAATGTTATGTGAAGAATATATTTAAAAATTGTTTCAAAATAAACTAATACAGTAACATAAAGTAAAATTCATATTAGCCTCAAATGCCATTTGCTTATGTTCAATGCCCTTTTTATACTACGAATATGAAAATAAATTGGCATAATTATTGCTCATCTTTAGGCCATTCTGGCAACAGATTTTGCATATGTGTAATGTTGGAAATACATATAAACTTTACCCAACAATTCTATTTCTAATATATATGCTTAATAAATAAGGTACATGTATAACGTTGCTCATTGCAGGCTTGTTTAAAATTGTACCAAGATTGAGAATAATCTTAATACAGGTTACTCCAATGGAGTAAGAATACATTCAGGTAATTTCCCTGTGTTCCAGAAAAAAACTTCCTAGTAAAGTACACTGAATCCATTCAATGGAATATGTTATAGTTATTAAAAATAATCATAGACATATGTTTAATATAAAATATATAATTTATATATTTAACTCACAACAAATGCTCGAGTGAAAATATATCAGAAAGCAATAAAGATACAATACATAATGTAATTCAGAAGTTAGAATGAAAAGTCTAAAATAATTTATATTAAATGTATCGATTATGACAAGAATTACAGAGTGCAAACTTGTCTGAGGGATTAAGAAAGTCATGGAAAGTTAAAATTAAGATGAAATGTACAGGGTAAGAAAGAATTAGTCAATCAGGAAAATATGGCATGTGGCAAAGAGAGCATTTCAAGCAAATCCACTGCTTGTCTTAATCCTTGGGGCTTTGTAAGGAGACAGCCCAGATTCTAGTTTATGAAGGAAAAGCCATACAGGAAAAAGGCTAAAGAAGAAATTGGAGCCAGGCAGGCCTTGTTCGACTATATTAAGGATTTTAGAATTGATTATAAGTAAAAGATCATGGCAGTTGAAAGTTTTTGATTTAGAAAGAGATGTGATATTATTTTTCTTCCTAAAAAATATATATTTTGAATGGCGAAGAGATGAATGGATTGGAGTGGGACAAGAGCAGATTCAGGGAACCTAGTTATGTTATAAGAGTATGCAAGGAAGGCTAGGGATGAAAGTGGCCTAGCAACAGGGTAGTAACAAAGAACAAGGTATGATATGTAGGATAAAACATGGTAATTGGTTGATCAGATTTGGGTAGTGAGAGAAAAAGAAATGGAAAAAAGAATATAAGGATTAAAATCAAACAGCATATCTGAATCTGTATTATACGAATATAATACTCTGAAGAGATATACATAAAAATATTAACAGAGTAATCACTGGTAGGTAGGTGACAAAAAATTTTGGTTTTACACTTTATACTTTTACTTGTTATATGATATTTTTCAAAAAAAAAAACCACTTATGACCTCTCTAATCAAAATATTCAATGTTGATAATGCAAGTAACCCAAGCTACATCATACAACATGTCTTAATTTCATGATAAGTGAATTCTGGCTACAGTGCAGATATTTAAGACTTTCCCTCAGCCTTAATTGTTTTGATTTAACTTTTCCACTGTGGCTGTAAATGGGGTAGAGTTAGAGTGAGAGCAGAGTATATAGACCCAAGAGAAAAGACCATGCACTTCACCTTGGCATTTCTGAAACTAAGTTTATGAAAGCATAGACCCCATTTGTATTATTTAGTATTTTTTATCACCAGGATGTAATATATTGCTTTGCAATTAGTACACATACATTTTGAGTAAATTACTGACCAAGGAATTACTTTTTAAATAGTCTATTCTACCCTTTTAACATTTCTTTAATGTTTTGCTAATTCTACTAGCCTTAAATTGGAATGATAGCTTTGTGTCATTTCTTGAAATTGTTCTCATTAATGCCTTATATGAACTTATTCCTGGCCATGATTCTTGAGAGTGTAAGTCTCCTTGATGTTTCAAGCCAACATTGGAGTTCTCTTTCTTGGTAACTGATTCATAATTCTCTTATCAGCTCACTTCACACCTGGGCCATGCACCACTTACTTCTCAGATGACAAACTGCATGCTAGTAGCAGTTGCCTGAGATTGACAAAAAGAACCTTTCCAGCCATGAAGCTATATTTATTTCAAAGACTGAGATATATTTTAGATAAAAAAGTGAACTTCTTGATTATACAATCCTAAAACAATAAAGAATTTAAAAATTCTGGAAATGTTTCAAAAATATATATGGAAACAAAAATATTATGATGAGGGTAGTTATTTGAAATATTAATACAATCTCAGGAACATTAACTAAAAAGTTTTAAAAGGCAATATTTCCATCGTTTTAACGTCAATTCTAAAATACTTACTCTTAGTCCTCATTGTGAATGAAAACAGATTTCCATTCCACTTAGATATGTATACATAAAAACTTTTCTAGATATTATTGTCCAAGTAGTCACAAATATTAAAAACTAAACAGTTGAAATATGTAAGAAATAGAACCAACACTTATGATCTATATGATTTTCTAATTTAGTTTTAGAAAATTGTTTTACACAAATTACTATGGATATAATTTA
This sequence comes from Homo sapiens, assembly GCF_000001405.40. Taxonomy (NCBI): domain Eukaryota; kingdom Metazoa; phylum Chordata; class Mammalia; order Primates; family Hominidae; genus Homo; species Homo sapiens. The sequence continues at coordinate 193,760,291 of NC_000002.12, read as the reverse complement.
AATAATGTATGAGTCAAGAAAGAAACTGTTGAAAAATCCCGATAAAAATAAATTTAAGATGCAGTCAGCTTTTCTTTTTAAAAAAAGAAAAAGTCTTCTTATTACAAGACAACATCAATTCTATATGTCTCAGGATTTTTTTTTCCAATTCACATTTAATATGAAAATGGTTTTCAGAAGCTAAGCTTACATGCTAGATATCTAAAAGAAAAACAAAATACTAATGCGCCCACTTTCACAATCTCAAAACCACAGATAAAGATCACTCTCAGTTAATTAAAAATGATCCACCTTAAAATCAAAAGTTTCAATAAATGAAGAAAATGGTAGATTGACTTTTATTTCAGTAAAATGAAACACACAGGTAATATTACAAATATTTTACAGGCAGCTCTAGCAATTTTTCAGCTAACAGAAAGTTACATGACATCTAATAATAATTCAAAATATGTTCAATAGAGAATAATCATCATTTATAGCTCTGTCCTATCACAAATTTACATTTATATTCACCATGTTTCAAGGAAGGGAAAAGAGACAAAATGAAATGATTTTTGATGTAAGAAATCAAGGATACAGCATCAAAGAAATAGCAAAATGGATGAAGAAAAGTAATTTTTAATTTGATATACAAGAAAATTAATTTTAAGATGACACAAACTGGAGATGTTTTTAGGCCTACCTATAGATTCCTTATTAAAAAATTATGAGGATATAAACTCAATTTAAAATATTTAGTTATATGCAAAAATTATGAGGATATAAACTCAATTTAAAATATTCAGTTATATGCAAAAAATTACCATAGTAGTGGCGCACAAAAACAGTAAAATACTATTTCCTAAATAAGTATTGTTAAAAATACTAATTTAAAAGTTAATATCAAAGTAAAATGTCATTATTTTCAATATATAATTGAAAGGAAGAAAAGTTAATGATATGAAAGGACATATTAACTATAGACATGTAGAAAAATAAATTTAAGCAATAAATCAAACAATTTAGCATAAAAGTAAATTATTTTAAAGAAAAAATGTGAAGACAATCTGATTAATCCAATGGTGAATAAAACACAGGGAAATGAGAAAATGAAAGATTGCCTGGCAAACTGAGAACATAAAATGATGCAGAATGAGGGTAACTTACTGGTGTTTCTAATTAATGTGGAGGATTTACATTGAAAGATTAAAACACAAAGTTGCTAAAGCTAAATTATTAAAATCCAATTATATTTTCTTATAACAAGAATTACTAAAACAATAAATTTTATCTAGATATATACAAGGATATATTATATATATTTTTTCAGATAGGATCTCACTCTGTTGCCCAGGCTGGAATACAGTGTCAAAATCATGGCTCATTGCAGCCTCAACTTCCAGCTGCAACCTTGACCTTATTGCAGGCTCAAGTGATCCTCCCACCTGAGCCTTTTGAGTAACTGGGACTACAGGCACACACTACCACCAACAGCTAATTTTTTTTTTTTTTTTTAAGGTGGGATTTCACGATGTTTCCCAGATTGGAATGCCTGATCACAAGTGATCCGCCCACCTCGGCCTCCCAAAGTGCTGCGATTACAAGTGTGAGGCACCCAGTCCAATCTGAGATTTATTGTTTTTTCGAGATGCAGAAAACCAAAAGAATCTTTTTCCTACCTAAATGGCAAGTAAAAGTGAATGGTGAATAACATCATTACTTTTTTGATTCCATCAGGTAACTGAGTTTGAAAGGCAAGTGAGATGACTAAATCCAAAAGAATCAAAGCCCCTTTCAGGACAATTAGTAGACATCTTAGGTTAAATATGTGAAGAAAAGGTGGGGATCATAAAATAGTTAAGATAAAACAAAAAATCAAAGCTTTAACAAATTATTAAAGATTTTTAATTATAACATAATATGATCATTTAGAACCTTTGGAAGCCCCAGATGCAAAGGGAGTCTGCAAACACTACCCAGCTATTTTCCACAGCCTATTCACTAAACATATGGAGACAGAGTAGGAGACAGAGTTGTTTCTGGTGGATAAAATATACATAGCCTACACCAGAATTTGAGAATGGAGCAGGAATATTTGAAAAAGCTCATCTACACATGGATACTGTATAATTCCAAAGTGTGGTTCATCATTCTTGAAATAAAGCATGCCCTAAGTTTTCTCTGACATAATGTCGAAGCTCAGAAATTAGCATAGGGGATTCCTGTTCCTCTGACCTGATGCTGCTTTAACACAGGCAGAAAACATCTAATGCTGAGAAAGTATCAGGAGACACATTCCTCACATATTCACAGTAACTGGTTAGCTACTTCTGATAGAGGGAGAGGAAACCTACTTACCAGTCTGCCAAAACACTAGAAAGAATTTATCTAATACTAGGAGTAGGGCTAGAAACTTGATCTTGCTCCCTAACCCCAAGCTCAACAACTGATCAGATTGATGCAGTATTCAACACTAATGGCCTGAAAAAAAGAGGAGGCATTCCCACTTACTTTAAAACACATTTTTCATTTTATTAAGAACTATGAAGCGTTTCAAAAAAATGGAAACAACCCCATTGTCAATAGATAAAATAACCAACATAATTACACCCAGAGATAAGCCAAATTTTGGAATTATCACACACAGACTTTAAGATCACTATGGTTAATGTGTCATACAATCTTGTAGAAGAGATGAACAACATACATAAGCAAAGATTTGGAAACTACGAAAGTGTATTAAATGGAAATTTTAGAAATTAACACACACACACACATATACGCTACAAGACATGAAAATATCTTTGGTGGATGGGTTTATCAGAAAGACTACATATAGAAAACCGAAGAATCAGTGAACTTGAAGCTAGGTCAGTAGAAATAATCCAAACTTAAATGCAAACAGGAAAAAAAGTGAGAAAATATATATACAGTGTGTAATGATCAAATGAGGATATTTAGGATATCCATCACCTCAAACATTTATAATCTATGTTGGAGAGATTTCAAATCTTCTTTTCCAGCTATATTGAAGTATACAATAAATTATTGTTAACTATAGTCACTCTACAGTGCTACTGAATACTAAAATTTATTCTTTCTATCTAACCATATGTGTACACCCATTAACCAACATCTCTTTGTCAACCCCCACCCAATTCCCAGTCTCTGGTAATTATAATCCTACTCTCTACCTTCCACAAGATCAACATTTTTGGCTCCAAAATGTAAGTGTGACTCTGCGATAGTTGTCTCTATGTGCTGAGCTTATTTCACTTATTAAAGTTAACTCTAATTCCCACATGTATCCCATAAAAATGTGCAATTATTATATATTAACAAAAATAATACATACTAAAAATAAATAAAACATTTAACAATGCAATGAACTAAAAAACATGGAAAAATAAAAACAATAAAGCAAGGTATTCAAACAACAGAGTATCCAAGGCATGTGGTGTAATATCAAACTGTCTAACATCCATGTAAATGGAGTCCAAGAGGGGGAAGTGAAAGAGACTGGATAGAAGAAACCTATGAAGAGCAAATGACCATGGATTTTCCAGAATTAATAAAATACAACAAAAAATGAATTTATAAATTTAGAAAACCTCACGTAAACTAACTAGAAGGAAAAAACACAGAGGCACATCACAGTCAAATTGCTGGAAGATAATTATAAAAAAGCTTGAAGGTAACCAGAGAAAATTGGACAAAAAGAGACAACAGACTATATAAATGTACCTTTCCTCTTTTCTTTTCTTATCATTTGTTAAAGACACACAGCTTCATAAAACAGTAATATGATAATGTACTATTTTTGGTATCATACCATTTATATATAAATACATAAAATTAATAGCCAAAAAAGGAGGATAAAAGGGGCGTGTCTTGAAACAAAATGTGTGTGTGTGTTCATGCGTGTGTGTGTGTGTGTTTGTGTGTGTGTGTATATACAAACCATTACCAAAAGAGAGCTGGAGTGGCTACCTTAACACTAGACATAGAGACTTAGGTTCAAAAATATCATCTAAAGGTAAATTTATCAGGAAATTATACAATTATAAATATATACCCACTTCACAACAGATATTCAATATACACAGAGCAAAATTGATAGAATCAAAAATAGAATTAGGAAATTTGACAATATTTGAAGACATTGATAGCTTATTCTTAAAAATTGACAGAAAAACTCAATAGAAAATTATGTACAATTTAGAAGACTGACAGCATTTTCAGCAATTTAAATATTACTAGCCTTTACATAAGAATATTTTACCAACAACAGAGGTAAACACATTCTTTTCAAGTGCACATGAAACATTCTCTAGAATAGATCATATTCTATGCAGTAAAACAAATTTAAAATGTTTGAAGACATACAAATCATATACTCTGTCCACTAAAATAAGTTGGGATATAACTGAATATCTGGAAACTAAACAACATGTTTTAAATGGTTCCAAAAATAAATAATGAGAGGCATTAGAAAATAGATTGAACCAAATGAAGACAAAAACATACATATCAAAATGTATGGGTTGCTGTTAGCAATGCTTACAAGGAAATTTACTTTAAATGCCTGTACTAGAAGAAAGATCTCATATCAATTATCTTTTTTCCACCTGAAAAAAAAAACAAGTAAAAAAGAGCAAAATAAACTAAAGATGAATAGAATCAAGAGAATGATAAAAATTACAGTGGAAACCAAATGACATTTATTTAAAAAAATAGAAAATAGAGAAGAATAGTGAAACTCAATGGAACCAAAAGTTATTTTGTTGAGATAACAAATTTTCCAGACCTTTAATTTTAGCGTGCTAATGTTTTTAATCTAAGTTAGCTGGATAACACAGATACCAAATAATTTTTACTTTTTAAAGAAAATAACAGTTATGTGCATGTTTATTTAAAGTTTATGGTCATTGAAGGTGCAGAAGTACAATGTAGAAATTCCAAAACGTCAGAGAAATGAAAAGCTTTTAAAAGAAAAAAAATTCAACCAATAAATATTGGGAGAAGACAGAATTAAATTCAACAGAGAAAAACATAGCAAATTTTAAATTTAAAGAAGTGAAAGAAATAATTCATATAAGTAAGTGATCACAGAATATGTAAATATATTAAAATCAACTATTAAAAATGAAGTATTGGGGAAAGCATTGTCTCTTCAATAAATGATGCCGGGTAAACTGGATAGTCATATGCAGAAGAGTGAAATTAGACATCTCTCTGTTACCATATACAAAAATCAAATCAAATAGATAAAATGATGAAATATAAGACCTTCAACTAACTATGAAACTAATAAAAGAAAATATCAGCGAAACTCTCCAGGACAATGGTCTGAGCAATGACATCTTGAGTAATACCCCACAAGCACAGACAACCAAAGCAAGAATGGACAAATCGTGTCATATCAAGTTAAAAAGTTTCTGCACAGCATAGGAAACAATCAACAACAAAATGGGTAAAAGTATTTTCACACTATTCATCTGGCAAGAGATTAATAACCAGAATATGAAAAGAGCTCAAATTGCTCAATAGGGAAAAATCTAATAATCTGACTTAAATTGAGCAAAAGACCTGAATAGACAATTCTCAAAAGAAGGCATACAAATGACAAATGGGTATATGAAAAGTTGCTCAATATTGCTGACCAGAGAAATGCAAATCAAAACTACAATGAGATATCATCTCACTCCAGTTTAAGTGGTTTTTATTCAAAAGACAGATAATAACAAATGTTGGCAAGGATATAGAAAAAAATGAAACCTTGTAATATAAGTTAGTACAGCTACTATGGATAACAGTATAGAGGTTCCTCAAAAAACTAAAGATAGAGCTACCGTATGATCCAGCAATCTCACTGCTAGATATAAATGCAAAAGAAAGGAAATCAGTATATCAAAGGACATCTGCACTCCTACGTTTATTGCAGCACTATTCACACTAGCCAAGATTTAGAAGCAATCTACGAGTCCACTAATAGATGAATGGATAAAGAACATGTGGTACATACACACCAAAAAAATGAAAATGTGATACGTATACACACACACACAAAAGCATAAGATCATTTTATTTGCAGCAACATGGGTGAAACTGGAGGACATTATGTTAAGTGAAATAAGGCAAGCACAGAAAGACAAACTTCACGTGTTCTCATGTATTTGTGGTAGCTAAAAATTAAAACAATTAAACTAATAGAGACAGATACTAGAAGGGTATTGGAGGCAGGGGAGAATGGAGATAGTAATAGGTACAAGAATATAGTTAGATAGAATGAATAAGATCTAGCATTTGATAGCACAACAGTGTGACTTCAGTAAACAATAAATTATTTTACATTTAAAAATAAACAAAAGAGTATAATTGGGATGTTTGTAATATTAAAAAAAGATAAATGATTGAGGTTGTGAATACTCCATTTACCCTGATGTGATTATTACAAATGTATATACTGGTCATATGACGCCTAACCTCAAGTGATACTCCCACCTCAGCCTCCCAAATTGCTGGACTTACAGGCATGAACCAGCATGGCTGGCAAAAGACATTATCTTTTAAATGCCATTCATTGAAATTGAAATTAAAGAGATGGAAAATGCATATCAAATGCTATGGACTGGAAGCGTTTTAACAAAATTCACATGTTGAAGCTTAATCCCCAGTATAAAGGTATTAGAAATGGGGCCTTTGGGAGGTAATTAGGCCCTGAGGCTGGAGTCTTTAGTACACTTACAGTACAAAATAGGATAGAGATGATCTTTCTCCCTGACATGAGCAAACAGTGAGAAGGTGGCTGCCTATAAGCAAGGAAGAACACCCTCAAGAGTCACCAGATCTGCCAGCCCTTGATCATGGACATCCCAGCCTCCAGAACTGTGAGAAATAAATGTTCATTGTTTAAACCACCAAGTCGCTCGCATTTTTATTGTAGCAGCTTAAACTAAGAAACCAAGTAAATACCAACATTTTTAAAACATTGGCTATCATTATTCATATTATTTCAAGTTAATATTATTATCCAAGATATCTATGGCCAAAAGCTTACCTAGAGGTTATAGGGTCTCTATGCTGATAAAATAAACAATTCTACTTAGAAAATATAGCAAATATTAACTGGAATAAAGCTAATAATATAGTCCTGAATTATAAATAAAAATGATAGAATCAATATAACATATTGTCATATTCACAAATATAGTGGTTATTATAAAACATCCCTATACTCTTCTGTGCACTAGGGTCTAGGTAAAGACTTCATGACTGAGACCTTAAAAGCAGAAAGCAACAAAAACAAAAGTAGGCAAATGGGACTCAATCATAGTAAAAAGCTTTCACACAGAAAAAGAAATAATCAACAGAGTGAGCAGGCAACCTTCAGAGTGGAAGAAAATATTTGCAAACTATGCAGTGAAATAAGATCCAGAACCTACAAAGAACTCAACAAAATAAATAAATAAATAATGCCATTAAAAATGAGCAAAGGAAATGAGTAGACTTTTTTTTTTCAAAAGATGTGAGAGTGCCCAGCAAATATGAAAAAAAAAACCTGTTAAACATCACTAATCATCAGAGAAATGCAAATTAAAATACAAGGAGTTACCTTACACCAGTCAGAATGGCTATTATTAAAAAGTCAAAAAAATAACAGATGTTGGGGATGTTGTGAAGAAAAGGAAACTTTTATGCATTGTTGATGATAATGTAAATTAGTACAACCTCCATGGAAAACAGTATGGAGATTTCTTAAAGAACTAAGATTAGAGTTATGATTCAATCCAGCAATCCCACGGGATTACTGGGTATCTACCCAAAGGAAAATCATTATATCAAAAATATACCTATATTTGACCGTTTATTGCAGCATTATTCACAGTTGCAAATGTATATAATCAATGTTAGTATTCATCAGTGAATAACTGGATATCCATTGATGTCTACCCAGAGGAAAATAAATAGCAAATGTACGTAATGAACCTAAGTGTCCATAAATGGATAAAGAAATGTGACATATATGTATATATACACACATATATATATACACACACACATATATATACACACACACATATATATATACACGCACACAATGGATTACTATTAAGTCATAGAAAAGAATGAAATTGTGTCTCTTGCAGCAGCATGGATGGAACTGGAGGCCTTTATCTTAAATGAAACAACTCAGAAACAAAATCAAAGTGAGCGCATGTTCTCACTTATAAGTGGGAGCTAAATAATGTGTACACATGGAAATAGAATGTGGAAAAATACATAATGAAAACTCAGAAGGGTGAGGGGTTGGGAGTTGAGCAAGGGATGAGGAATTACCTATTGGATATAGTGTATACTATTCAGGTGATAGTCACATTAAAGCACAACTTCACCACTAGTCAATATAACCACGTAAAAAAACTGCCCCTGTACTCTTTAAATGTACACAAACTTTAAAAATATTAAAAAGAAGAAGAGAAAAAGAAATCTATTGATCAAAAGGACAAAACAGTATTAGATATAGAAAATGTAAATAAAAAGCTTTCTTTATAAGATTTTGGTAGATTATATTATTTTCCCCAATTATCTACTCTTATTCCCTGTAAGAGTAGATAGTAGAATTCTCTTCCCTGTGGACATCTGACTTGGTGATGTGCTTTGCTTTGGTCAAAGAATTGTGAAAATAAATGTAGTCAGCAATATCTAGGCATAAAATAAGAGCCTTTGCATGCTTCCAACATTGCCATCTTCACTCTTTCAAAAGAATGGCAGTGTTGTGTCTTAGGGGTTGCTCCTGTCGCCTGGATGCTGGCAAGAAGAACACTCAGAGCAGAGACGTATTTGACATGTAGAACATGAACACTAAATAAACATTTGCTGTCAGAAATGACTAGGATTATTTGTTTGTTCTCACTGTATAATATATCAAAACTGACAAAAAGAAATAGATATCTAGAACTCTGCTAATAGCAAGACAATAATATATAATTATTTTCAACACACAGAACATTTTCTAAAGTCACAGTATCATAAACCATATTATCAAGCCACGGTCCTATTTAACTAGAAATGAATAATACAAATATATTTTTAAAAATACATTTGAAAACTAAAATGTTCTATTTCAAATAATTTATGTACATGTCAAATAAGAAATCATATTTACATTACATATGACATACATTACATCATATTTAGAACTAAACAAAAATGAAAATATTATATTTTGAAAGTTGTAAGACACAACCAAAGAAGGTGTTTTCAATTTTCCAAAAGCTTCAATAAGACTTACTGAGTTACATCCAAGAAGAAAATACTATTTATTTCTCATTTTATGTAACAATCAACTGCAATATTCTCCTCCAAATGAATCAGGAATCTCAGTTACTCCTTTATTGTAAATCCAACATCTCAGAGTCCTTCCCACCCCATAGCCTCATTAAGGGCTGAGAAAAGAAAGAGACAATGAGCAGGGGATTAGAAAGAGGGAGAGAAGGAGAATGGAGAAGGCCATTCCCTGTTAAAACCTCAACATGGAAGTTATATATTAGTTCTACGTTTTATTTGCAAGGATTAGTCACAAGGCCTCATTTAAATGCCTGAACTCTGGGAATTGTCATGGAGTATAAGGATCTTTAGTTGAATACTAGTAGTATATTGTACAATATTATAAATAGGCAGACACTGGGGTCCCGTTGCTTGGAGGCAGAAACCAATGAAGCCAGGATAAATCCCAGGCTACTGGCAAGAATTGTTGGATCATGCAACATACATTGAGACAAAAAATAAGTGACAGGAGTTATAGATTTACAGAAAGTAAAATGGTTTGTAGATATACATGAAGTAAAATGAATGATTTATTCAGAGTAATTCAGTAAACTGGTAGAATGATAGGCAGTTGTTACAAAAAGCATGGGTATTTTGATTTATTACTTCAGCAGTAGAACAGGTCATGTGTTTTTGTCTTAGTCAGGAATTAGGTTAGAGCCAAAGTAACAATATTAACTTCTTTCCAATGTATTCTAGATTGGAAGCAAAAATATTATTTTTTTAAAAAAAACATCAAAACTTCATAGATTTCCAAGTACCTAGGCATGTCTCTTTTGAGCAGGATGGCTTACTCCCTTGCATAATCTATCTTTTCTTTAAATTTAAATTCAACCTGTTTGACGGAAACTCCAGTTACTATCATACCAAGACACATTTTTAAAACAATGTCAGCAAAAGGGAAAATAATTTTATATTCCAAAAAACTGAAGACACTTCTGAATCACTAACACTCTTAGCAATAAACAGTTGATAGAGAACAAAATTTAAACAAGAAAAAATATTCTAGTTTCTCCTGTGCTTAATTTTCATAGAAATAGATCTAAAGAAATAAAACTTTTTAATAACTGCACTTTGTTGATAATTTAGAGTCTGATTCAAAGTTTTTTTTTTTTAAAAAAAGCTCTAGCAGCTTATTAGTAAACACACAACCATACATTTATAACTTCTTAGATTATTTGAAGATGCATACATTCTTGACATACTGTAACTCGTGATGTACCTTCTATTCCACTGTCGAAGTCAATTGATATGCATTTTTTCACTCTTTATAAACTCTTGTAATGTCATTCAATAAGCAAATGATTGCACAATAGGTTCATAAATATGATTGATCAAGAAAATCTAGTCATAAAAATTATTTAAAAGATCTTAGATTATGAAATGGTTCACCTTATGTTAGGTAGGGATACACACTATTAATCCCAACAGATAGGAAACTAAGGATATTTATAAATGTCCTATTATTTTATTTTATTTTATGGTTTAATGATGGAGAAAAAGAGTGGGGTGCTTAGCTTGGGGAAAAGGCAACTTTGTGTACATTTCTGAAATGCTAGAGATAATAGAGGCAGGGAAAGGAAAACAAAGGCATAGCATTTACAGCATGGTTAAAAAAGATTATTGTACAGGGCTCAAAATATTTAAGACTTGCAATGGAGGGCATTGATTTTAGAGCAGACTACACACACACAAAATCAGGTTACTGAGGTTCCTTCATCACATACATAATCTCATTTAATTCCTGTAACAGAGTGTAGCGTATGTGTGGTTAAGAGCACAGAGACTGGAGTTATCACCTAAGTTAAATTCTGTTCTAGTTAAATGCATTTAAAGAGTGCATGCATGTCCAAAGTGCATGACTTGGATAATTTACTTAAACTTTCTCTGCTTCAACATTGTTATCTATAAAATGGAGGTGATAGTATCTATATTAAAAGATATTTGAAAGTTAACACATTTTGACACAGTAACTGGCACAAGTAGTATATAGCCATTAACTATTACTATAGTAACTTGCGAAATAGAGAATAGCATAATTCTCAACTTATAAATGAGGAAACTCTCCAGTAAGGTAGTCTTTAAAAAAAGCCTTCCAACTATCTAATAAAATTAGGACTTGCAAAACCCTCCATATTTTCAACCTTTCTCTATTATTGCTATTTTCTAACCACTTTGCTTTTCTGTTCTGCACACAGACTGTCTTCTTTGGTCCTGGTTCCATAGATCAGGATGCTTTCTTCTCAGCTCTCTTCATTCCTTCTCATCTACCAAGTTTTAGTTCCTGACCCCCGATCCAAAGAAAAATTAACCCTTATAAATAAAAGTCAATTTAGGGAGCAAGAGAAGTCCCCTTGCTCTTCAACACCATACCAAAATCATTTTAAGGGAAAACAAGACACCACTTGGAGCAGCAGTATTGTTGGACGGTTACCAGGAGGAGAAGCATGGCAGGAGGATCACAGTCCCTTACCCAATGCTTTCATCAAAAAAGTATATATCAGGATCACAAGCTGTGAATAATATCGAATTCTAAGAATTGGTACCAAAATTTAAAATGTTTCCAAGCTACCACATGCCTCTATCTGTAATATTAGTGGATTTTTATATGACCTTTAATTCAAACTTGATCAGATTTTATTTTATATCTCTTATACAAAAATAATTTTATGGAATAACATATAAAATATATAAGTTACACAGTAAAAGATGAATTTTAATACTTTACAAGTGCAAAGCAAGTAGAAAGTGCTACTGTAAATCCCTCTAGTACAAAAAAGGATCATATCCAATGCTATATTGTTAAAAGAAACAAATTTGAATAAGTCCATATGCAATGTGACATCTTGAAGATAAATTATATTATACCAAGTGTAAGTGAAGTCATTTTTACACATCTTTAATCGAGGAAAAAAAAACATAATCTCTTTGAGAAACAGTCTAATCTCCTCCAACACCTTAATAAGTCATGATTTATTAGGATATCAAAGATGGAAACAAACTGCTTTCTTTGAAACTTATTGAAAGCCATAATAAAAGTCAATTTAGGGAGAAAAGACACACTCAAATTTCTGTGAAAGAGAACAATCAAACATTTTTGGAAATAAAAAAATAATGTAATGGCAAAATATTGTGAGTGCTTTTTAATTTTTTTTATTTTTTGTGGCTACATAGTAAGTATATATATTTATAGGGTACATGAGATGTTTTGATATTGGCATGCTTTTTAATAAATTTTTGGTTTTTAATTTTTGTGGATACATAGTAGGTGCATATGTTTATGGGGTACATGAGATGTTTTGATACAGGCGTGCAGTAATTATAATTATGCCATGGAGAATGGGGTATCCATCCGCTCAAGCATTTATCCTTTGTATTATAAACAAGCCACTTATGCTTTTTAAGTTATTTTAAAATGTGCAATTAAGTTATTATTGACTATAGTCACCCTATTGTACTATCAAATAGTAGGTCTTATCTTCATTACTTTTGTACTCATTATCCTCATGTCCCCTATCCACCCAACCACTCTCCTTCCCAGCTTCTGATAACCATCCTTCTATTCTCTATATACATGAGTTCAATCGTTTTGATTCTTAGATCCCACAAATAAAGGAGAACATGTGATGTTTATCTTACTGTGTCTCACTTATTTCACTTAATATAATGATCTCCATTTCCATACATGCTGTTTTAAATGACAGAATTTCATCTTTTTATGGCTGAATAGTACTCCATTGTATGTATGTACCACATTTTATATTTTTTAACTTTTATTTTAAGTTCAAGGGTACGTATGCGGTTTGTTATATAGGTAAACTTGTGTCACAGGGTTTTTTGTACAGATTACTTTTTCACCCAGGTGTTAAGCCTACTATCCATTAGTTATTTTTCTGATCCTCTCCCTCCTCCCACCCTTTATCCTCAGGTAGGCCCCAGTGTGTCCATGTGTTCTCATCATTCAGCTCCCACTTATAAGTGAGAACATGCAGTATTTGGTTTTCTATTACTATGTTAGTTTGCTAAGGATAATGGCCTCCAGCTCTATCTATGTTCCTGCAGAGGTCATAATCTCATTCTTTTTATGGCTGTATAGTGTTCCATGGTGTATATGTACAACATTTTTATTTTAATCCAGTCTACTATTGATAGGCATTTGGGTTGATTTCATGTCTTTGCTACTGTGAATAGTGCTGCAATGAACATACTCATGCATGTCTCTTCATAATAAAATAATTTATATTCCTTTAGATATATACCCAGTAATGGGATTGCTGGGTTGAATAGTAGTTCTGTTTTTAGCTCTTCGAGGAATTGCCACACTGCTTTCCACAATTGTTGAACTAATTTACACTCTCACAAATAGTGTATACGTGTTTATTTTTCTCTGCAAGAGCTTGCAGTGTCAGTGTTTTTTTTTTTTTTTTTGGCTGTTTAGTAATAGCCATTCTTACTGATGTGTGATGGTATCTCATTGTGGTTTTTATTGGCATTTTTCTAATGATCAGTGATGCTGAGCTTTTCTTCATGTGCTTGTTGTCTGCTTGTATGTCTTCTTTTGGAAAGTGTCTGCTCATGTCCTTTACCACAATATAATGGTGTCGATATTTTTTTTTCAAACTAGAAAAAAACTGCTTTAAAATCTATATAGCATAGTTTGAAGTCCAGTAGCATGATGCCTCTAGCTTTGTTATTCTTGCTTTGGATTGCCTTAGCTATTAGGGTTCGTTTGGTTCCATATAAATTTTAAAGTAGTTTTTTTCTAGTTTTGTGAAGAATGCCATTATTAGTTTGATAGATATGAAACTGAAATAAACTGCTTTGGGAAGTAATGGCCATTTTAATGACAGTCATTCTTTCTGTTCTGAGCATGGAATATTTTTTCATTTGTTTGTGTCATTTCTGATTTTTTTGAGCAGTGTTTTATAGTTCTCCTTATAGAGATCTTTCACCTTCCTGGTTAGCTCTATTTCTAGGTATTTTATTATTTTTGTGGCAGTTGTAAATGGGATTGCATTCCTGATTTGGATTTCAGCTTGTCTATTATTGGTGTATAGGAAGGCTAGACAATTTTGTATGTTGATTTTGTATCCTGAGAATTTGCTGAAGCTGTTTATCAGCTTAAGGAGATTTTAGGTCAAGACTATGTGATTTTCTTGATAAAGAATTATGTCGTTTGTAAACAGGAATAGTCTGACTTCCTCTATTTCTATTTGAATGCCCTTTATTTCTTTTACTTGCCTAATTGTTCTGGCCAGGTCTTCTAATACTATGTTGAACAGGAATAGTGAGAGAGGGCATTTTTGTGTCTGTTTTCAAAGGGAGTGCTTCCATCTTTTACCCATTTATTATGATTATGGCTGTAGGTTTGTCACAGATGGATCTTATTATTTTGAGGTCTGTTCCTTTAATACCTAGTTTATTAGGAGTTTTTAACATGAGGACTTATTGAATTTTATCAAAAGCCTTTTCTGTACCTGGTAAGACTAAGACTATCATGTGATGTTTGTTTTTAGTTCTGTTTATGTGATGAATCACATTTATCGATTTACGTATGTTGAACCAAACTTGCATCCCAGGGTTAAAGCCTATTTAATAATAATGGATAAGATTTTGGATGTGATGCTGGATTCAGTTTTGAGTATTTTGTTGTTGTTGAGGATTTTTGGATTGATATTCATCAAGGATATTGGCCTGAAGTTTTCGTTTTTGTTGTGTCTACTCCAGGTTTTGCTATCATGATGATGCTAGCCTCATAGAATGAGTTTAGGAGGAGTCACTTCTCTTCAATTTTTTGGAATAGTTTTAGTAGGAATGGTACTAGAGCTTCTTTTTAAAAGTAGAATTTGGCGCTGAATCCATATGCTCTTGAGGTTTTAATTTTGTTGGTAGGCTATTTATTACTGACTCAATTTGGAAGCTTGTTATTGGTGTGTTTAAGGAATTAATTTCTTCCTTGTTAAGTCTTGAAAGGGTGTATGTGTCCAGGAATTTATTTATTTCTTCTAGATCTTCTAGTTTGTGTACATAGAGGTATTCATAATTTTTTTTTTTTTTTTTTTTTTTTTTTGAGACGGAGTCTCGCTCTGTCGCCCAGGCTGGAGTGCAGTGGCGGGATCTCGGCTCACTGCAAGCTCTGCCTCCCGGGTTCACGCCATTCTCCTGCCTCAGCCTCCCAAGTAGCTGGGACTACAGGCGCCCGCCACTACGCCCGGCTAATTTTTTGTATTTTTAGTACAGACGGGGTTTCACCGTTTTAGCCGGGATGGTCTCGATCTCCTGACCTCGTGGATCCACCCGCCTCGGCCTCCCAAAGTGCTGGGATTACAGGCGTGAGCCACCGCGCCCGGCCAGGTATTCATAATATTATCTATTTCTGTGGGATCAGTTGTAATACTCCCTTTGTCATTTATAATTGTGCTTATTTGGATCATCTCTCTTTTCTTCTTTATAAATGTAGCTAATGGTCTATCTATCTTATTAATTTTTTCACAAAACTACCTCCTATATTCATCCATCTTTTGAATTTTTTTATGTCTTGATCTCCTTTAGTTCAGCTTTTATTTTGGTTATTTCTTGTCTGATGCTAGTTTTGGGGTTGATTTGCTCTTGGTTCTCTAGTTCTTTTAGATGTAATGTGAGGTTGGTAAATTGAGATCATTCTAACTTTTTCATGTGGGCATTTGGTGCTGTAAATTTCCTTTTTAACACTTCCTTGGCTGTGTCCCAGAGATTCTATTGTGTCTTTGTTGTATTTTTGTTCTCATTAATTTCAAGGAATTTCTTGCTTTTTGCCTTAA
Organism: Homo sapiens; assembly: GCF_000001405.40. Lineage (NCBI taxonomy): Eukaryota > Metazoa > Chordata > Mammalia > Primates > Hominidae > Homo > Homo sapiens. The sequence continues at coordinate 193,744,182 of NC_000002.12, read as the reverse complement.
TTTTATTATTTATTCAAAAGTCATTCAGCAGCAGGTTGTTTAATTTCTGTAAAATAGTATGATTTTGAGCAGTTTTCTTAGTCTTGATATCTAATTATATTGTGCTGTGGCCGAAGAGAGTGTTTGCGATTATTTCAGTTATTTTGCATTTGCTAAGGACTGATTGATGTCCAATTATGCGGTCATTTTTAGAGTATGTGCTAAGTGGTAATGAAAAGAAGGTATATTCTGTTGTTTTGGGTGGAGAGTTCTGTAGATGTTTACCAGGTCCATTTGATCCAGTGATGAGTTCAGGACTTGAATATCTTTATTAATTTTCTGCTTTGGTGATCTTTCCAATACTGTAAAGTGGGGTGTTGACATCTCCCACTATTATTGTGTGGGAGTCTAAGTCTCTTTGAAGGTCTTTAAGTCGTTGCTTTATGATTCTGGGCGCTCCTGTGTTGGCTGAATATATATTTAGGATAGTTACATCTTCTTGTTGAATTAAACCCTTTATTATTATGTAATGCCCTTCTTTATATTTTTTGATCTTTGTTGGTTTAAAATCTGTCTTGTCTGAAATTAGGATTTCAACATCTGTTTTTTCTCTGTTGTCCATTTGCTTGGTAGATTTTTCTCCATCTTTTTGTTTTGAGTCTGTGAGTGTCTTTGCACATGAGATGGATCTCTTGAAGATATTATATCATTGGGTCTTGGTTATTTATTCAGCTTGCCATTCTGTGCCTTTTAAATGGGCATTTAACCCGTTTACATTTATGATTAGTATTGATATGTGTAAATTTGATCCTGTCATCATGATGTTAGCTGGTTGTTATGCAGACCCGTTTATGTGGTTGTTTTATAGTTTCACTGGTCTGTGTACTTAACTGTGTTTTTGTAGTGGCTGGTAATGGTCTCTGGATTATAGGGTTTCTGCTGAGAAGCCTGCTGTTAGCATAACAGGTTTCTGCTGAGAAGCCTGCTGTTAGCATAACAGGTTTCTGCTGAGAAGCCTGCTGTTAGCATATAGGTGACCTGATCTGTCTCTCTGGACGCTTTTAACATATTTTCCTCCATTTTGATTTTGGAGAACCTCATGATTATGCGTCTTGGGGATTATCTTCTTGTGTAGATTCTTTCAGGGGTTCTTCATATTTTCTGAATTTGACTGTTGGCCTCTCTAGTGAGGTTGGGGAAGTTTTCATGAACAATATCCTGAAATATGTTTTCCAACTTGTTTGCTTTCTCCCTGTCTCTTTCAGAGATGCCAATGATTCGTAGATTTGGTCTCTCTACATAATCCCGTATTTTGCAGAGGTTTTGTTCATTCCTTTTCACTCTTTTATGTTTATTTTTGTCTGACTGTCTTATTTCAGAGAATGAGTCTTTAAGTTCAAACTTTCTTTCCACAACTTGGTCTGTTCTGCTATTAATACTTGCCATTGCATTGTGAAATACTTGCAGTGTATTTTTCAGATCTATCAGGTGAGTTAGGTTCTTTCTTTATACTGGCTATTTCATCAGTCGGCTCCTGTATTTTTGTGTGTGTGTGATTCTTAGTTTCCTTTATTTGGGTATTGTCATTCACCTGAATCTCAATGATCTTCATTCCTATCCATAATCTGAATTTCATTTCTGTCATTTCAGCAAACTTAGCCTTCTTAAGAACACTTTTTGAAAACCTAAAGGGGTCTTTGGGAGAACATAAGACACTGGCCATTTGTGTTGCCTGAGTTCTTGCATTGGTTCTTTGTCATCTCTGTGTGTGGGAGTTCCTTTAACTGCAGTGTAGATTGAGTATAGTTAGTAGACTTCTTTTCTGGATATTTTCACAGAGCTGAGGCTTAGTGAAGGGTTTTTATTTGTAGCTGACTTCTTGTCTTTGATTTCACAAGGGGGTGTGTTAGCAAGGTTATTTTGGTGTTGTCGAAGCTTTGGAGTGTGATCCAGTAGTTGGTGCTTAGGTGTAGTGGTCAGTAGGTAGGTTCTTAATTAGTGGTGGCTCCCCTATATTTTTTTGCATTTGCAATCATGCTCCCTCACAATGCTCTAAAAGTATGGGCTCCTCTCCCACTTGAGTGCTGGCTGTAGATCGTGGCTTAGCACTCTCAGCCTGCTCATCTTAGCTCTGGGGTGAGCTCAGTGTTTATGTTCCCCGTCCAAGTTGGAGGCAGCAGAGGAAGGGACCTTACCACTGGTTGTGGCTCTCACTTTTCTATTTATTTAAGATGTATCATTACATTGTTTATTTGAAGTTTTTCTTCCTTTTTATTTTAGGCACTGCTATCTGTAAACTTTCTTCTTAGTACTGCTTTTGCAGTAACCCCTAGTTTTTTGTACAGTATGTATCCATCGTATGGAGCTCCATTGTATTTGTTCCTGTTGCTGCTTTTAGAAATCTTTTTTTTTTTTTAAATCCTTGGTCTCTGGAAGTCTAACTGTTAAATGCCTTATCATTTGTTTCAAGAACTGTTTTTAATTTTCTTAAGTTGTTCATTGAAACATTGGTCATTCAGGAGTATTTTGTCTAATTTCCATGTATTTGTATACTTTCCAAAATTCTTCATGTTATTCATCTCTAGTTTTATTCTATTGTGGTCAGAAACAAATGCTTGATATTATTTCAGTTTTTGAATGTTTTAAGACATGTTTTGTGACTTAACATAGGGTCTATCCTTGAGAATGATTTATATATGCTGAGGAAAAGAATGTGTATTCTGCAGCTCTTGAATAAAAACTTCTGTACATATCTATTAGATACTTTTGGTCTATAGTGATTTCAACAGCCTACTTTTAGAATTGGACAGATTTTCCAGGAAATCACCAAAGAAACATTGTCCAATTCTAAAAGTAGGCTGTTGAAATCTACGGCTGTTATTGTATTGGCATTTATCTCTCCTTTTTCCTCTAATAATATTTGCTTTGTATATCTAGGTGCTACAGTGTTGGTTGCATATATATATTTAAAATTGTTATATCATTTTGCTGAATTGATCCCTTTATCAATATATAGTGACCTTCTTTGTCTCTTCTTATAGTTTTTGTCTTATAATCTATTTTGTCTTATATGTGTATAACTACTCTTGCTCTTTTTCAGTTTCTATGGACTTGGAATATCTTTTTCCATCCCTTTATTTTCAGTCTATGTGTGTCTTTATTGATGATCTGTGTTTTTGTAGGCAATCGATCAATGGGCCCTGTTTATTCATTCATTTGGCCATTCTTTGTCTTTTTATTGGAGAATTTAGTCCATTTACATTCAATGTTATTACTGATAAGTACAGACTTACGCCTGCCATTTTGTTATTTATTTTCTGGACATTCGTGGTCTTCTCTTTCTGTTTTCTTTCCTTTTTGTATTATTAGTGAAGGTAATTTTATCTGGTGATTATGATTTATTTTCTTGCTTATTATTGTTTTTGAATCCATTGTATGTTTTTTTGGTTTGAGGTTACCATGAGGCTTGCAAATACTATCTTATACCCTATTATTTTAAGCTAATAACAATTAAAGACTTTTTGCATGAACAAACAAGCAAAAAAATTATAAAAACTCTATGCCTTAACATAGTTCTTCTGCTTCTTTTTAACTCTTTTTTTGTTTCTATGTATATCTTCTTGTACTCTCCATGCCATGAAACATTATTGCAGTTATTATTTTTGATTGGCTTATTGCTTAGTTTTTCTACTTAGTAAAAGAGTAGTTTACACACCACAGTTACAATGTTATAAAATTCTGTGTACTGACTATTACCAGTGAGTTTTGTACCTTCAGATGATTACTTATTGCTCAGTTAACATCCTTTTCTTTCTGATTGTTGTACTCCCTTTCACATTTCTTGCAGAATAGGTCTGGTGTTGGTGAAACCCCTGAGCTTTTGTTTGTCTAGGAAGCTTTTTATTTCTCTTTCATATCTGAGGGATATTTTCACTGGCTACACTATTCCAACATAAAAGTTTCTTTGTACTGCAGCACTTTAAATATGTTATGACACTTTATCCTGGCCTGTAAGTTTTCCACTGGAAAATCTGCTGCCAGACATGTTGGTGGTCCATTGTAAATTATTTGCTTTTATTTTTGTTTTTGATTTTTCTCTTCCTGCTTTTAGAATCCTTTCTTTATCCTTTGTCTTTGGAAGTTTGATTATTAAGTGACTTAATGTAGTCTTCTTTGGATTAAATCTGCTTGGTGTTCATAACCTTCTTTTACTTGGATACTGATATCTTTCTCTAGATTTGGGAAGTTCACTGCTATTATTATTCCTTTGAATATTTTTGTAGCCCTACCTCTTTCTTTACCTTCTTTTTAAGGCCAATAGTTCTTACATTGGCCCTTTGGATGCTATTTTCTAGATCCCATAGGTGTGCTTAATTGTTTTTAAATCTTTTTTCTTTGCTTTCTTTGACTGTGTATTTTAAAATAGCCTTTCTTTAAGCTCACTATTTTCTCTACTTGATCAATTCCGTTATTAAAATACTTTGATATATTCTTTAGTATGTCAATTGCATTTTTCAGCTCCAAAATTTCTGCTTGATTTTGTTTAATGATTTCAATCTCTTTGTTAAATTTAAATTTATCTGATAGAATTTTGAATTCCTTTCCTGTGTTATCTTGAATTTCTTTGAGTTTACTCTACACAGCTATTTTGAATTCCCTGCCTGAAATGTCACATATCTCTGTTTTTTTCCAGAATTGGTCCCTGGTAACTTACCTATTTCATTTGGTGAAGTCACGTTTTCCTCAATGGTATTGATGCTTGTGGATACTCATTGGTGTCTGGGCATCGAAAAGGTGGGTACTTATTATAGTCTTCAACATCTGGGCTTGTTTATACCTGGCTTTCTTAGGAAGGCTTTCCAGTATTTGAAAGGACTTGAGTGTTGAGATCTAAGCTGTATCTGCTTTAGGGAGTGCCCAAGCCCAGTAACACTGTGGTTCTTGCAGGCTCATAGAGGTACCTCCTTGACGGTCTTAGATAAGATCCAAGAGAATTATCTGGATTACCAGGCAGAGACTCTTGTTCTCTTCCCTTACTTTCTCTCAAACAGTTTCTCTCTCTCTGTTCAGCGCCACCTAAAGCTGAAGGTGGAGTGACACAGCAGCCCTGTGGTCACCACCAGTATGCCTTTCCTGGGTCAGACCTGAAGCTAGCATAACACTGGGTCTCACCCAAGACCTGCTGTAACCACTCCATGCCTACGGCTTATGTTTGCTCGAGACCCTGGGGCTCTACAGTCAGCAGGTGGCAAAGCCAGTCAGGCCTGTGTCCATCCCTTCAGGGGGTGATTTCTCCCAGGCCTCATTTGGGTGCAGAGGTGCCATCTGGGAGTCAAGGACTGGAGTCAAAAGCCTTAGAAATCTACCTAGTGTTCTATTGTACTGCAGCTGAGCTGACACACACACCACAAGACACAATCCTTCTCACTCTTTTCTTTCCGCAAAGGCAGAGCAGCCTCACCCCATATCCACCACCACCACAGGCCACAGGGAGTACTGCCAGACTACTGCCAATGCTTCCTTAAGGACCAAGGGCTCTTAATTCAGCTTATGAATGCTGCCTAGCCTAGGACTCACCTTTTATGTCAATGAGTTCCCCTCTGGTCCAAGGCACATCCACAAATGCCATCTGTGAGTCCTGACTTGAAACTGGGAACCCCAAGAGCCCACTTAGTTATCTACTTCTCTGTGGCTGAGCTGGTACCTGAAGTGCAAGACAAAGTCCCCTTTACTTTATCCTCTGCTTTTGTCAAGCAGAGGGATTTTCACCCCATAGCCACCACAGTTGGGAATGCGATGAGTCTTAACTGAAGCCAATAAATCTCAGAGGCTTACCAAAGTCCCTCAGCATAGTACCTGGGCATTGCTGCTGGTTTTGTGGGGGCCCAAGGGCTCTTCAGTTAGCAAGTGATGAATGCTGTCAGGAATGGTCTTTCCTTTCAAGGTGCCAGGTTTCCTTCTACCCCAGGGTGTGTCTAGAAATGTTGTCCAGGAGCTGGGTCCTAGAATGGGAGTCTCACAATTTCGTCCAGTGCCTTATCCTTCTGTGGCTGAGCTGTATCCAAGATGTAGGACAAAGTCCTTCACACTTTCTTTCCTCTGCTCTCATCAAGTGGAAATAAGGGATCTTTTTTGGAACCACAAGCTGTGCAGTCCAAGAGTAGGGAAGGGTTGATGTCAGTACTCTCTTAGCTACCCGAGCTGGTGTCTCAGTTGGTCCCATGACCCCAAGTCCACTGCCTCTGAGCCCACTTCAGGCCTAGGACTCACCTAAGAGTTGCAATCCTTATGACCCAGACTGCCTTTCAAGTCTACTTCGAGACCAAGAGAACTTTAGCCCTTGGTGGCAAGGTCTGTGGGAACTCAAGTTCTGACTGCTGGGATCTATGATTCTGCTCTGGCTAGGGAGGGTTTACATGCTCCCTTAGTGTGTGGGCCCCAGTTTAGTTTGGTCTAGTTTTCCTTTATGCTCTGAGTTCAATAACTCACAATTGCTGTATTCTCCCTCCTCCAGTGCCAGAGACACTCAGCACCATGTTGCCACTGCCCAAGGATGGGGAAAGGGTGGCATCCAGCTTCAAGACTGTTTTTTTCTACCTCTTCAGTGCCTCTTTCAGAGAAAGAAGTTAAAACAGATACTAGGAGGGCTCAACTAATTTTCTGTTCTTATGAAGGTGTTCTTTTTGTGTGTATATAGTTGTTAAATTGGTGTCCTTCCTGGGGGAGATGATTGGTAGACCTTTCTATCCCACTATCTTGCTGCTTCTCTGTGAGTGTTATTTTTGAAATTACATCACAAGTGCAATGAATGTAACTATATTTAATATTCTTTTCTTTATATATAAGGATTTAGAAAAGAGGCAGGTGGAACACCTTGAAGGATAGAAAATAGCAAATAACCTGGACATTTCTCCAGAGTAATCACTGAGTTTTTACCCAAATGTGAGCTTGAAATTGTGTTGGTTTACTTCCTCAGGCCCAGAACCTTTGCACACAGAATTGGATATTTCTCTCATAATGCTGAATGTGATTCTAAAATTTAATGACATTTTATTTTTTTATTTTTTTGATACCACAGAGAACCTGCAAATGTAACTACTTCAGCTGTTGCAAGACAGAACTAAAGGGCCATGTCTTTCAACGATAAGGGAAACTTGGGTGAGTTATTTCAAGTGTCCAAGAAAAACATGTAAGTCTTCAACATGGCAGCTTTCTAGAAATTTCAAGAGTAATTTGATTTTAGGTGGTTTCTACATTGGATTTTAGACAAAGGATTTCCAAAAAATAATTTTGCTTAGTTATTTGATTACCAAAAGTAATTTTGATGATAAAGCTGACTCTCCCAAAATTACCAACATCACAGAATTTAAAAAGAAGAGTAATTTCTCTTTGGTTATAGCAACTACCATCATTATATTTCATTATAATGAATATTTGCTAAACCAGTTCATGTGTTAGGTGCTATAATTCTGCTCAGAACTCCAATATCTTGAAAGAAGAATAAAATACAATATGCTGTTGCACTTTATTACCTTCATTAGTTTGTTTTACTTGAGCCTATATTTCTGGTGAATATTACACAATGTTGTGTTATATTATATTCTCTTTTTTTGTATTCCAGTTTCTTTAAAATTGCCCAAACATGTTTCTTTTGTACTTGCATGTGTATATTTCATATTTACATATGCTGGCATAATCTAAGGGAAGTAAAAAACATATTTTGACGGTATTTAGTTCAGTGTATCAATGCATAGTTTTGCCAATAAAGATTTTTATAGTGTGTGTATTTTTTAAAAATTTTATTCTTGTCAGTATTTCCCCATAAAATTGAGAAATGTTATATTTTGCAACCTCTATGCTATTTTATCAATGCATTTTTGTAATGTAACATAATTTTGTAGGTGCCATGATGGCTTTGAAGGGGATCAATTTATTTCCTCAGACTCCTCTCAAAATATCAGGTTGACTCTCAATCAGATTTGAACTGGCTGGAGATATACTAGGCTGCTAAAATCAGTTTACCAGGTCTACTTCATTGTTGAGTACAATTTCCATTTTGACATATTGAAGAATATTAATGAAATCAACGTAATGATAATAAATCATTTAACAATCCTTTAGTATTATACTATACTGTATGGTAACAAAAATCACATTTAATAGCATTTAAATGCTTAAATAATTTTGTATATTAGACCAATATAATTTCTAATTCAGAATAAATTTAGATAAAGAATAAATAAGTACATAAGAAAAGTATTAAATTCTGCTATTATTATCTGAACACTTGGTTTTACTTACTGTTTTTATTACCTTAATGATTAAAAGGTGTTAATAAAAGTAAACACATATTTCTCCCCAATGTAATATATTTTTTCCTTATTATCTGTGAAATAAAGCAGATACCAGTCATGTTATGAAATCATAAATTATTGATTTTGAGATTTTAAATATGATATAAATTTACTAAAAGAATAAATTCATAAGAGACTTAACCGAAGCATTTTTGGAGCAAAATAACTTATTCTTTTTCTTAAACAATTAGAATATGTTTTTATAAAACACTTAAGATTCCAATGGAGGTAAGTATTTAATACATCTTTAACATATTAATGTTTAAACCATACTTAGGAAAACTTATTAGCTTTTAAGATTTCTTCACCATTGTGTTGCAATAACTCTGACAAGTATTTAATTTGGAAATTTTAAACAACTAGTATTTTATTAAAATTCCGTACAATATGATTTCAACTATCTTAAAGTGACTTGTCTTAAAATACCAACATTGAACCATTTATGTTGATTTCATTATGAGAGAACAAATATGCAGCTAAAGCTGTTTTGCACAGTACAATAAAAAAACTTATGGGAATTGAAAAATTTGAAGCCAAGCACTTTTCTAGTTCTGACTTCTGAGTATGAATCTAAAGCCTGAGGCAGGCTGCACTGTGCTCCTGTTCATATCATATCAGTCACTGCTTCAATTAATTTTGTTAAGAGTCCCCAGATATATTAAAATGCACTTCATCAAAATGCAATAATCTTTTCTAGTTCTTTCTAGCTGAAACATATTTGAAAAATCAGGACAAGAATGCACACTTTAGAATACCACTGTTATCAGTGTTATAAAAACCAATAAAGGAATAAAGCAACAATCAGTTTGCCAACAAAATAAACTCAGAAAAAGATAACCCGAGAGAAAATGTTTTACATATATTGTCTTAATATCTTATTTGGACTTCTCAAAAAATTTTGCTAACAATCAATGCTCTATTAACAGTTTTGTTAAAATTATTATTCTATGGATTGAATTACTCAGGAATAAATTATTCAGCCTCTTAACATAATGCAGTGATTACAAAAATTAATAATATGCTGTTCTTATGCCTTGGAGATAGAATGAAAATAACGGTGTAACCTGGAGCTATTTTAAGGCTATTTTTGTTGATTCCACTTGAAGATTGGCCCATTACCTTGGCATGCATTTCGACATTCTACCATTGTCCTACAATTTTGTGGTGTTCATTTGTCACACTGACAGAAACCAGTTTAAAATTTAAATCCATATCCCTCCTGAATCCCGTAAAAGAGTTTGTAGTCCAAAACCTCTGCAATGACTGATGATACTCCTGTCAGGTGCCAGTAGATGCAGCAGAATTGCTCAACAAGTTTCTTAACAAGATAAACAGTAAGGCAAGTTACAGAAAAACAAATGACTTATCATAAGGTTGCTTCCATGGCATTCTTCATATTTGTCCCTTAAAGTTATTTCCACAAATAAAGTATTTCAAAAGTAGGAAGTATTCTTACAAATAGATGTATCTTTAATTCTCTCCTAGCTCATTTAGTTTAATATTTGTAAAGAAATTACACACAGTTGAAAAATATTATAAAATATTTCTCAAAATATGCCTTAATTTATACAAACTATTTTTCTATCTCAAAGATATAAATTGACAGCATTTCATTTTGTGCTAACTTTACTATGAGTTTATTCATAATTATGACCTAGTTATCCCTATGGATTTATAACATCAAGACTATTACTCATAAAAATGTTTTCTCTTTAAATCTAGGGTCTCTCAAAATCTAACCCAAGGAGGATTATTGCATATTCTCATGTCAACACAAGACAGAGTACAATGTGTATTTTTTTCCCCAACTTCACAGTTAAATCTACAAAAGTCAAAAAGAGAGTGTGACATGGAAAGAGAGAGCTATATTAAGTATTTTAACAAGGCACATGAAGTTCTTATGTTTATCCCCTCCCCTTCATGTGAAAACATCTGCATTCCCAGGTTAAATCATTTGGCATATGCATTTTACCTGGTCTAAGTGGTCTATAGTCTGAAAAACATGAAAGTTTATCTATTTGGACAGTTTAACCATTGTAGTACTATCTATAAAAAGTTAAACTTCCTACATATCATATATATGCTCACCCTTGTTACATCTGTCTATTCAAACAAATATAGCCACTGGAAAAACAAATAAGGACTTATGATCCTGAGATTGCTACAAGCTTCTAGATATCACATGCAGATATGCACCATACTATATTACCAGGGGAGTTCTAAAGATAAGCTTACTTATTAACATGAGTCTAATTGCTTTAAATCTTTTTAAATAAATTAGAAAATTAGATTAGCTCAAGGTTGTGTATATGCTTGTTCTTCAATTATAACATCATATTAGTTATACCTTCTTAGGGAATTTTAAAGCTTTAAGATTTAATGCCTATAATTCATATAAAATTGTATGAAAATAAAAGGAAATAAATGTAAAGGTATATGTTGATATCAGAATGTGACACCTGTATTACAGAAAAGCAAAGCAGACAATGATTACTAAGAACATTTTTTGCAGTAACACTTTAAAAGAACAAATGGTCATTAATTAATATTAGAAGTACAGTTTTCTATTCATCTGTAAAATGCATTAAAATTGCACAGGAAAAAAATCCATGATTAGATGTGCAATTATATTGATTCACTAAACATGAATATACTACTAATTCACTGAATTAGCCAGAGCTTATAATATAATATCTCTAATGGAATAAAGTCGAACTACGTGGAATTAGTTTCTTAAGACAAAAAGATATATACTCTGGAACACATACTCAAAATATATTGCAAAGATTTCAGAGGCTAAGTGAAGAGCTGTGAAGTTTCGATGCCACCTTTGACAATTAACGTTCCTGAAAACAATGTCACAGTAGTGAAAACTTCATAAGAAAGGTGTGTCATTCTTGTCTTTGAGACAAAGTTACCACCAGAAATGCGGCTTCATTAAGTGAAGAAGAAAAGAGAAAAATCAGGGGTTCTAATAGAAAAAACATAAATATAATTTTATTTGCCATACCCAAGATTAATTAAGCCTAGTGTTCTCATAGTGACAGTCCAGAGTATTGTACCATTCTACACAGCTATTCTAAAAAGAATTCAAAACATAATATTCCTTAAATAAACTCCCCTTTCCCTGTATATATTTGTGGGGTACATGTGATATTTTGATACAAGCATACAATGTGCAATGATTAAATCTGAGTATTGAGATATCTGTCACCTCAAACACTTCTCATTTCTTTGTGTTAGAAACATTTCAGATCTACTCTATAGTTATCTTGAAATATACATGCAATAAATTATTACTAAATGTAGTCACTCTATTTTGCTACTGAACACTGGCTCTAATTTCTAGTAACTGTATTTTTGTGCCTATTAACCAGCTCCTCTTGACCCACCCTTCCCAATACCTTTCTCAGCTCTTGATAACCATCAATCTACTCTTTACTTTCATTAGATCACATTTTTTTTTTTTTTTTTTGAGACAGAGTCTCGCTCTGTTGCCCAGGCTGGAGTGCAGTGGCTTGATCTTGGCTCACTGAAAGTTCCGCCTCCCAGGTTCACGCCATTCTCCTGCCTCAGCCTCCCAAGTAGCTGGGACTACAGGCGCCCGCCACCACACTGGGCAAATTTTTTTTTTTTTTTTTTTTGTATTTTTAGTGGAGATGGGGTTTCATCATGTTAGCTAGGATGGTCTCGATCTCCAGACCTCATGATCCGCCCGCCTCGGCCTCCCTAGATCACTTTTTAAAACTCCCATATATGGTAAGAACATGTGATATTTGTCCTTCTGTGTCTGGCTTATTTTATTTAACATACTGACCTCTAATTCCATCAATGTTGCTACAAATGACAAAATTTTATTACTTTTATGGCTGAATAATACTCTATTATGGATATTTGTGACATTTTCTTTATCTTTTTATCTGTTGATGGGCACTTAGTTTCATTCAATATTTTGGCTATTGTGAATAGTGCTGCAATAAAAATGAGAATGCAGATATCTCTTTAATATATTGATTTATTTTCTTTGAATATGTATTCAGCAGTTGGATTTCTGGATCATCAAGTAGTTCTATCTATAGTTTTTAGGGGAACCTCCATATTGTTCTCGATAGTGGTTTTACTAATTTACATTCCTACCAACAGTGTACAAAGATTCATTTTTCTTCACATCCTTGTTAGCTTTTTTATTTTCTATCTTTTGGATAAAACTTATTTGATTTATATTTCTCTGATGATTGGTTATGTTAAGCATGTTTTCATATACCTGTTGGCCAACTCCTTGCCATTTGAATAGTTTTAAAATATTTCCTTCCATTCTGTAGATTGTCCTTCATTCTGTTAATAATTTCCTGTGTTATGCCAAAGCTTGTAAGCTTGATGGGATCTCATTTGTCCATTTTTGCTTTGAGTGCCTGTGCTTTTGAGGTCTTACTCAAGACATCTTTGCTTAAATGTCCTGAAGCATTTCCCCAGTGTTTTCTTCTGGTAGTTTTATAGTTTCCAGTCTTAGATTTAAGTCTTTCATTTATTTTGATTTAATTTTTATGTGGCAAGAAATGGGGGTTTAATTTTATTCTTCTGCATATGGATATCCTGTTTTTACAATACCATTTATTGAAGAGATGTATGTTACCACAATGTATATTTTTGTCAACTTTGTCTAAAACAGGTTGATTGTAAATGCATGGATTTATTTCTGGGTTCTCTATTCTGTTTTTCCTTTACTTGTAATCAAGGATATTTTCATTATTCTCACTACATAAGTGTTGTTGATTTTGAATTTTAACTATCCCATACTTGAAAACTCATGTATGAGTTACTATTTTCAAATGTCTCCTACTTTCAAAGTCATCTTTTTATTATTTTCATTGCTAGAATGATTTATGAATGTATGGTCTTACACCTAGACTATTGCAATATTCTCTGCTGTGTTTTCCCAGTCTCCTATGTATCCACATTAATATTTTGACCCAATTGCCACTGAAATAATTACTATAAATTACCATTATGGACACAACCCTGTTCAAAAATATTTGATTGTCTCCTCAAATGAAAGAACATGGTTTGGGCATCTTAGCTGGTACAGGCAATCATGGATCATGTAATACAGTTTGTTGAGCCAAGTTGGCAGTTTGTAAAGGACTCAGTTCAGCTGGTTAAAGATGCTCCGAACCTGATAGAAAAAAATTTCAGAAGATTGCCATGGCAACAGCAATAAGATTTGCTATAATGGGATTCATTGGATTTTCTGTGCAATTGGTTCATATTCCTATTAATAACATAATTGCTGGTAGCTGAATATGTTTTGGAGGAGTGTTTTCCATCTTAGGGATGGGTGAACAAGTGAGGGTTTGAGAAGCTCATGGAGTGAAAATTTGCTGAATATTTTGTGGTTTCTTCCTTTTTATTTCTTCCAAGATGTTTTCTATTTCTAAATTAAAATAACATGAAAAGAAAAAGGAAAGAAGACAAAGAACATTGTTTAAACACTTAGAACAACATTTAAAGATTTTCATATCAGAATTTGTGGAGGCTGTACAATGCAAAATTACATTTTCAGTAATAAAAGTCATTGTGTAAGAGGAGGATCTACTATCAAGGCAAGGCTGTAACGAAGGAACCTTTGGCAGTATAAATTGTTGGGCTGCTGAATTTGTTATTTATCCCATATTTGTTTTGTCTTGTGTCATATTATTTTCACATTTTGACTTTCCTTTCATTAAAGATGGTTTTATAAAGAAGAAATCACCAATCATTTGAAGGCACTGGCTCTTGTTATCTTTTGAGAATTGTTTAAAATTATTGAAAACTGTTTGTTGGCTGCCCAGGATGATAGAGGAAGAGACATGCTATTAATTTGAGGACTATAGTTTAAAAGAAGAGAGGGATTTCTTGGAGTTTAGAAGCCCAGGATTGGTGAATATATGAGGAAGCACATTGTATTGGTCTGGCTTCTCTAAGTAGACAGAGCTAATAGGATATGTGTATATATGAAGGGGAATTTATTAGGAGAATTGACTCAAAAGATCACAAGGTGAAGTCCCACAATAGGCCGTCTGCAAGCTGAGGAGGAAGGAACCCAGTCCGAGCCCCAAAACCGAAAAAGTAGGGAAGTCAAAAGTGCCCCCTTCAGTCTGTGACCAAAGGCTCAAGAGGCCATGACAAATCCCTTGTATAAGGCCAAGAGTCCAAAAGCTGAAGAACTTGGAGTTCTTATGTTTAGGGCAAGAAGCACCAGCATGGGAGAAAGATGAAGGCTGGAAGATTCACCAAGTCAAGTCCTTCCATGTTCTTCTGCCTGCTTTATTCTAGCCATGCTGGCAACTGATTAGATCGTGCCCACCCAGATTGAGGGTGGGCCTGCCTCTCCCAGTCCACTGACTCAAATGTTTATTTCCTTTGGCAATACCCTCACAGACACACCCAGGAACAATACTTTGCACCCTTCAATCCAATCAAGTTGACACTCATTATTAACCATCACACACATTATGGTGGTGTTGGATAATAAGGCTTCATGAATATTTGCATGTTTCTGCATGGTCAGGGCTTTCAGAGCGAAGAGTACTGGTATCTTGGTTTAAAGAAGGTTGCATGGGAAGCATGTCTTTGAAGTTAGAGATTTTTTTTTCTTGCCAATGAAAAGTAAAATTGCTTCTTCCTTGAATCCTTTTGCTTACCTTCTAAGGATAATGAATCCCAAGTCATTTGTTTATATTTTAGAGTAGTAAAAGAGAATTAAAGACCTTCTCCTCAGCCCCCTTCCTTCACTCTTTCTCAGAGAGGATGTGTTTACATTCCAGAACAAAGGCCTCCCTCACTCTTCTTCAGCGGGAGAATGGTGTAATGTACCAGCTTCCCTAAATAAGCTCCAGGTTTTATATTCCCAGATGCATTTTGTCTGGTGCAAAGCCCTGCATGTACAGGGGACAGAGCATGTAGATTTTGCTACCATTTTTTCACTCTGTGGGGAACTGGTGCATGGGCAGCCACTGCTTCTCAGATTGTTCTAGGTATGAGTAAATAAAAGGTCTGTTCTCTGATCCAGAAGTATGGTGTTCCTATTAATAGATACAGATTGATAAAAACAGAGATAGAGATATACACACACATATATAGAGATTTATATATTTTAGATACACTTCATATATACCATATATGTACATATATATGCAGGAATCTATATATATGTGTGTGTGTGTACATATATATGTATATGTGTGTGTGTTTGTGTGTACATATGTGTGTTTATAAAATTGTGGCAGTTATATTAACAGGGTAATATCTCAAATCCTGCATAATTTCTGATTTAACAGTTGGTAGCAAGAGCTGCCTGAGGAAAGAAAAATTCTAGGTCCTGAAATACAGTGCCTGCTATATAGAAATAGAGTAGAGACTACTGGAAGAAGTAATTAGGGAAATAAATGTGAGGTTTTGACCCATAACAATAGAAATTCCCCAATACTTGGCATTAATTCTACCTCAGTCTCCTGCAGTTACTAAAGTTTCTCAATTTTAAAAATTATAAATGTATAAATGTCTTTCAGATGAATTGGGGTTATGGTTAGATATACTTTGAATTGACAAAATAAATTGTGATATACATATCACAATTCATATATATATATATATATATATATATATGTATGTATATGTGGGAAAGAAATACAAGCAGAAGACTTTAGTGTTCACATCCAAAGTAAATTGAAACTGTGGTTCTTATGTCAATTTTAAAATAATAGTTCTATTTTAAGTAACTTTCCACTGCTGAGCTACACATCTATACTTTCTATTGTGATTCTGCCCTTGATGTTGGCAAAGGTAATATCAGGGTCCTTATAAGAACCACAAAAAAAGAAAGCACTCTAGGAACAGATGTAACAAAGGAACTAGTAGAGGCGAAGCCCTGATGCTTGAAATATAACGACACGACCCAAAGGTCTAGTCTCCATTATGTTCTCATTTGGGGCAGAATTTCGCTACATCTCTTCAGCTAACCTTGGAGACAATAATAGTATGGTGGATGTAGAGAAAATTGATAATATCTTCCACCTTTCATAGGTTAGCCTGGGAGCTCCACTGAGAGCCTGAGCTCATTCTGAGAAAATTATTTGATGCCATAAATGACCTTCCTATACCTAATAAGGGAACAAATTAAATAATTCATAGTGAACAAAAAATAAATGACCTCTGCATGTCACTGTTAGCAACTTTTTATTTTTCCATACTGAATGACTATGGCTACAAGTCTTGCTGTGTATACTCTTTATGCTGCTTCAGACATCTTTTAAGAGAATTGCATGGTAAACAACTGCAAGATCCCTAAAAGCTCACAATTAACATAAATAGAGGTTAATTATAGCTACCCATAAAGCTTTATTACAACCTAGCAGAGAATAAAACTGATCTGAACATTTTAATTATTGTATACATTACAATTATCTAGTCAGGATAGTAGTCACTGCTCAATGGGATTGGACTAGTGTTCTGGATTTTTCAAACAGTGATCTGTTTCATAAACATAATGGCAAAACTTAAAGATCATACAGCTTCCACGTTCATGATTTTAGCTGAAACATCAGCAACTGAATATCATGTAAAATAGGTGCAAAAGGAAAACATACAGGTGTTTTCTTTTTTGTCTTATTATATTATCTTGTTTTGTCTTGTCTTATCATCTTACAAATTAAATTGATCTTAATGCTTGTTTTTAACAGGCTAAAATCAGGGATCCCTACATGTCCTTTTACATATTTATAGATCTTAACACTAAAGAAGCTCCAATAAACATCCGATAAGTAGGATTTCACCTGTAAATCACATCAGTCTATGCAGGATTTGTAAATATTTCAAATTTTTATTCAATGTTGGATTACAACAGAATGAGCTAAAAAATTTAGGTCAGTTGTTGAGAAAAATACAGATAAAATATTTCAATTAAGAAATGTCTCAAAAAGTAAGGAATACAACAAATATTGTATTACTGACAATTATTGGTAAGTTATAGGCAGTTTGAAGATTATTAGGAAGGACTGGAATCAAGGTAACAGGAGATAATTGAAAACATTTTTAGAACTATATCATAGGAATTTTCCACATCTAAATATGATGTTTGTTTCCTAGGCTTAAGATTAAAAGTTCTGGTAAGAGCTTCTAAATTATTTGTTAGATCACATGCCCTTTGAATGTTTAGGGAGGGATGAATAGAATAGGCACCTCTGCTAGCCCAAGTCTTTTGCTAGCTCCTTAAACTTTTACCTTGAAAAAATAATTCCAACTCTATTACAGTATTTGAATAACTCTTGTATTTGACTGCAATGATAATGGTAATGCAATTACCTTTGACATAATTGGTTTAGGAATCAACATCCTAAGTGTGGTAGATTGCAAAAATGGCTACAATTCCAGCATGCACAACTTTTTGTCATTTGACTTTGAAACCATCAAGAGCTGTGTTCTATCAAGAGCTTTATATTTCTGAATTTATTGCCCTTAATCTGGATTTGGCCATATAATTCACTTTGGTAAATGGTACAATAGTATTTATGATGCAAGCAGAGACATGAAACATACATATACTCTGTAGTGGGACATGCCATCTTTTGCTACTCTATTAAACTCGATGATCACCTCCATGTGAAAACCCCCCAAAAATTTCTGAAGATGAGCAGCCCAGTTACTTCCATCAAGCTTTTCAAGAACCAAGCTGACCACTATATATATGGATATGACCATAGACTACCAGCTGACTACAGGTGCAAGCTCAACCGACAACCAAGTAGGTTAGAAACAAGTCATGCAAGCTTATCCCAGCCTAAGTTGCTCTGCACTTTGGGAGGCCAAGGCAGGAGGATCACTTGAGGTCAGGAGCTCAAGGCCAGCCTGGCTAATGTGATGAAACCCTGTCTCCACTAAAAACACAAAAATTAGCCGGGTGTGGTGGTGTGTGCCTATAATCCCAGCTATTCAGGAGGCTGAGGCAGGAAGACAAGAGAATCACTTGAACCCATGAGGCAGAGGTTGTAGTGAGCCGAGATCATGCCAGTGCACTCCAGCCTGGGCTACAGAGTGAGACTGTCTAAAAAAAAAAAAAAAAAGAAAAAATTTTGCTCTGTCATCTAAGTCATCTAAATATAAGTATTTAACACCTTAAACATTTCTCAAAAGGCTGAACCTATGCAATATGATGAAATATTATAGTATTAATAATTGTTACATGATATTATTAAAATAAAAATAAGTGCCAAGTAAATATCAAGATTTGAGTGAAAGTCAAATATTTGAGTAGAGTTTCAATTATATGTTCGTACATAGTCCAAAATATGTATAAATTATGCATAAAATATATATAATGATTTCTAATATTAAAGATTTATGGTAGGCCATAAATATGCCACGTCCTTGCCCTAATCCACAGAAACTAGTGTTAATTTATATGGGAAAAGAGACTGCCAGTGTGATTAAGGACCTTGGGACAGAAAGGTTATCTTGGATTATGTGGGTGGTTCTGATTTAATCAAAGGAGTCCTTATAAGAGAGAAGTAATTAGAAAGACAGAAGAGATGTTAAGAGGGAGGTAGTGATTTAAAGATGTTATACTGCTGGCTTTGAAGTTGGAAGAAGGGTAAGCCCAGAAATGTGAGAAAAGAAACTTTAGAAGCTAGGAAAGGCCAATAAAAGGATTTTCACCTCAGAGCCTCTACAAGGAATAAGTCTTGCCATTAACTCAGTGAAACTGATTTAGAACTTCTGATTTCCAGAACTGTGAGAGAATTCATTCGTTTATGTCACTAAATTTGTTGTAATTTCTTACACGAGCAGTAGAGAATTTTTAAACTCTCTCGTGTGTATGAGCTTCAAAGTTTCACCGAAATAGTTATGTGTTTCATTGCTGCTTGATTTCAAATTCTTGTGCAACTCAATTTAAATTTGTATTATTGATTTTTTTGTTTAATATTATCTGACACACTTAACATCTAAATATGCTTCAATTTTGACATGTCCAGATTTTCTCAACAGGAGGGCATTATAAAAGAATGTCAGATACCAGTCAGTAATAATCTACTCAATGTCAGAATGATCAGTAAACTACTGTCTATAAAATTTACCAGATGCTTGGATGAGAGAAACTGTGTTTAGAGTCTTGCCTGCCTGCAGGAAACATCATTGAAAGTCAAAGCAAATCCAGAGAGTTGGTCTTCCAGGAACAACTGCCCGCAGAGACCTTTTAGACTGTGGAAAACATATTTTTGTGGAAAACATATTTTTGTGCAATAGAGTTTCTATTAGACCATATACCTGAGGCACAAACCTAGGGTCTGGGTATTTGCCACTGCCTGGGAAAATAAACAGAATAAAAGAATTTACTGTGCAGGTCATAAAATCCTTTAGGCAAGTAAGTTATTTGTTTGATTATTAAAATTTTCAATGGAATGTGCAATTTAGCTAGAAGACAATGAAATAGTAAATAAAAAGCCTCAAAATATTGCGTTAAATATTGAGAGTTTATCTTTCTCTCAATCACTGCAAGTCTTTTTTTAGGAAAAAATTTTAAAAATAATGAAGGTTGTATTATATATATAAGTGTATATATATATCTCATATATATCATATGTATGTATGCAAAAGTATATATGTATATATGTGTATGTATATATCTATATCTACATATAGGTATATATATACCTACATATATATCTTAATTTATTTTACCAAAACTTCACTGACAAAATTTGGGTTGTTTCCAATTGTTTTGCAATAACAAATAATGTGATTAATATCCTTACAGAACTGTCTTTCCAAATTTCTGTAACTATTTCCCTAGGATCCACTTTTATTATAGATATGGAGATACATTTGTAGGTTTGTTACATGGATATTTTGCTACCACGTAGTGAGCATAGTACCCAACAGGTAGTTTTTCAACCCACAGCCTCTGCCTTTCCTACCTCATCTAATAGCCTGCAATGTCTGTTGTTTCCATGTTATGTCCATGTGTGCTCAGTGTTTAGCTCCCACTTATATTCTTTTAGAGTAGACTCATTATTTTGGAGGACTGGTATTGAAATGAGTGCTCAAGAAAGTACTCAGACATTTAATGTCCTAACTGATTGGAAAAAGCCTTCATTCACAGCTTGCTTGTTTTTTTTTTCTGAGATAGAGTCTCACTATGTCGCCCAGGGTGGAGTGTAGTGGCGTGATCCCAGCTCAGGTGACCTCCGCCTCCTGGGTTCAAGTGATTCTTGTGGCTCAGCCTCCCGAGTAGCTGGGATTACAGGTGGTGCCGCTATGCCCAGCTAATTTTTGTATTTTTAGTAGAGATGGAGTTTTATCATGTTGGCCAGGCTGGTTTCAAACTCCTGACCTCAAGTGATTCTCCTGCCTTAGCCTCCCAAATTGGTGGGATTACAGGCATGAGCCACCATGCCCCCGGCTTCACAATCATTCTGTTTTTGTTTTTTTGTTTGTTTGTTTTTTAGATGGGGTTTTGCTCTTGTTTCCCAGGCTAGAGTACAATGGTGCAGTCTTGGCTTACTGCAACCTCCGCCTCCCAGGTTCAAATGATTCTCCTGCATCAGCCTCCCAGGTGGCTGGGATTACAGGTGCCCACCACCGCACTTGGCTAATTTTTGTATTTTTAGTAGAGATGGGGTTTCACTATGTTGGCCAGGCTGGTCGCGAACTCCTGACCTCAGGTGATCCACCCACCTAGGCCTCCCAAAGTGCTGGGATTACAGACATGAGCCACCATGCCCAGCCCACAATCTTTCTTGAAAACTACTAGATCCATAACATTTCATTTTAATTTTTACTCTGCTATTTTCTTTAAAGTCATGTTTTAATGTTGAATATTTGGCTCTCTTGAAAATGTAGACAGAGTGAAAACCATGAGTTTACAAGTGTCTTTCAGATAAGGAAAAGGTTCCGGTAATTCCTGTTAGTACTTTGATGAAAGAGAAAGAGCTAGCCTCTCTTTGCCCTCATGTGTTGTACTCTATCCAACAGCATGTATTTATTCAAAAAACAGTAATTAGTGTATGTAAGGCACTAATAAATGCTTGGAATTTATTCATTGGAATAAAAAAATAAAAGAAGATGAAACAAACAATGAGGTGTAGAAATAAATTAGAAGAGAACTTGTTGTGTATTTTAATAAAATTTTTAAACAACTACTGGAAAATCCAAATGCAGTTTATTCCAGTGCTGTCGTACTCTGGGTGAAAATTGGTTTTACTTAAATATGTCCTTTATTTCTCAATAACTTACACGTTGATAACCAACAAGAAAGCAGTTAATAAATCAGTTCATTATTTTAGCAAATAGTCATTCACTAATTTCCTCCAAAGTATTAGATAATATTATGCAGTATGGAACAAAAATATTATGTTTTATATACATTATCTTTCATACACAGTAACCTATTTTGAACGTAATTTCAAAAAGATTTTGGGGTATAATCCTTTGTTGCCAACTTAATTCTGTAAATTTTAATCTGGTTAATAAATCTTGATATTGGTGTTTTCAGGCTAGGACCTAGTAAAACTATTGAAAAAAATTATTAATTAATGTAGTACGGGGATGTAAATGCATAATTTTGATTATTCAAACCTCATTATAAAATTTAGTCATGCATGTTGATGCAATATAATGATGACCAAAGAAGTCATTTTGTTTACTGCTACCTTAAGGTACAGATATTACTAGTTATTTGAAAGAATGAGGAGTCTAACAACTATTCATCATTCTGTCACAATTCACCACTTGTAGCAGTTATGGAGGTGCACTCTTCACACCTCTCTCAAGAAAGAACTTGACTTTCAGCTGTGAAATATGGGGTTTACTGACAGTGTTAAACTGTAGAGCCTTCTAGGATCTGCTACAGCATTTTCATCTAAGCCATCCTCTTCTAAGATAGGTTACGAAAATCAATGAAGCAAGGACCGATACCAACGTCTAAACTTATTTTAACTGCTTCTCCTTGGTATTGGCATTGTAGCATTCTACATTCCTGATTTTTTTTTCTTATTTTGCAAAACCAAAGAAAATACTTCACTTTGTGGCAGGAGTTAATTTCTGACCCACTTTAACTAAATCAATATAACAGTCTCCAGTGTTTAGGTCCACTGGTTAGAATATTTCTCAATTCTTTCTAAGGCATCACACTTAAGTACAAAGGGCACTGCACCTAAACATATTGTTGGCCATTAAACTTGCAGGCATTCTGTAAAGAAGGACATGAAATTAATGGACTATAAAATTTGTCTTCAGAGAATTTTAATTTCATAAGTACAGCAATAAAGGTTATGTTATTATTTTTCCTACATCCAGCTTTTGTTCATAACTGTATGACTAAAATGTAAAGGTTATCTACCAGTAGACACAGGTCTGCATATTGAAGGATAGTTCCCTACAAAAACAAAGTAATTATGCTATTATTAAAATATAAATAATTAAGAACAACAGCAATAAACAGTACTTTCTATAGTCTAGCTCATTTACTTGAACTTTACATTTTACCTTAATTCTTAGAAAATCTCAAAAGAGTTTACTATTCACATTTTATATATGAAATGAGGGTACAGATTATTTACATACTTCTAGTAAATTCGATAACCCCTCAAGAGGCAAAATCAGGATTCCCATTCCATTAGATCTAACATTAGAGTTTTAGATTTTCTTCACTATGCCACACTGATTCTCAACATATTTATTCAACACAGTATTTATAGAAAAGGTTTATCCTTGATAATCCAGCTTTATTCTAATATTAGCTTTGGATTTTCATTAAAAGATTGATTTCTATCTCCCACTAAATCAAGTTTAAAACACTTCCATGTTTTGTTTTGTTTTGCTTTGTTTTGTTTTTCCATATGAGCTAGGCCTGCATTCTGGTTTGGTATCAATGACTCCCTTAAACACATTCTTCTCTACCCCATCTCAACATTCACTACCATTCACCCACCTTTTGATATCTATAAATATTTTAATCATCGGAGAATAAAACTTTTACAAATAGCACTCTTTCCCAAGTCATGAAAGGTGTTTCTCCACTTGATTCAAAAAACAAAACAATTAGAAAAGAAAAAAATAATGCCACCTGCCTTGTGCTATCATTTGCAAATGAAAATAATAACTTACGCTCAGTGCTTGAGTTTTCTCAATACGCACTTTACTTAGCATTGTTTTGTTCCTCTCCTTTGAAAACATTAATGTTTTGAACAAAGGTTAAAAGAATTTCATTCAGATAATAGTCACTCAATATGTATTTTGGAAATGTAGATATGAGAGAAAGAGCTTGTAAAGTGAAATAGTTGTATCAGTAAGGATCTGGATACAATTCAGGGAAACAAATTAGAAACTGGTTAAGCTGATAGAAGCAAAATATTTTAGTTATTTTTGATATTAGTAAGCTATTATCTCAGGGGCTGACTTTACAAAAAACAATGTGTATCTTTTATGTTTAATTTTGGATATTAATGTAGCCACATTCCAAGCAGTTACATAGAAAATATCACAGTTAGAAATATACAATGGATGTTCTCCCAAGACATTGTATTATATATTTTCTTGCAGGCAAATACATATTGAAAACATATTTTAAAATTATTAATTATCTTGACAGAAAAATGTTGTCCCTAAAGGGTATTTAGTAATCAAATTAAAATGAATTTAAAATTTAAATTATTTTTTCCTCACTACATTTAGCAGAAATATTATAGTCAGCAGACCAACTTAAATAAAATATTTCCTGCCAGGAGGAAGAAACATTGATCCAAAATGAAATTATCATCAAAAATGTTTATAACTATAAAGACTTCACAGGAATATTTTATTAAATTCAGTAAGAAAGCTAAAAATATATGGTTGCAGTGCAGTTTAAGGTAATATATCAATTTAAAATTGTTATGTGAGCAACATATATTGGAGTTAATTTGTTGAAGTCTTTTTTTCACTAATTATAAAGTATTTTTATAATTATACATTTAAAAGCAATAAGTACTCACAACCAATAAATAACTATTTAAATAAAAATATATTGGATTTTAATTTCTTGAACAAGTGTAAATATCTGCTGAAAGCTTAAAATCAACCTGAAATAAAGTTTCAATTGAAACTCATTTATTCAGTTCAAATAAATATTTCTTAGTGTCCAATATCTGTTATGAGACAACATATATGGTAGATAATATCTAAATTATATATTTGCCTTTTATTTCCTCCCCTCAGCAATTAAATAATTTATTTTGAATGAAGAGAATAAAATCTGTTACCTCTTCAAAATTACAGTGAAAGGAAAGTAATGGAAATAGGAAATGGCCACCAAAGCCTCAGAGAAACACATTGTCCTTGCTAGATAACGTGTCCAAAGCAACACATAAGAAAAGTTTTTCTTATAACTACATTTGCCTATTCATGTATCATAAGTATAAAAATTACTAGAAAATGTATGTTTTAAATTTTATAGCACACATTTTCTTACAATGGATATACACATAAATGACACAGGTAATTTTAACTAGCTAGATAACTGACTAGCTGATTCACAGTGAGTTAGGTTATACCAGCTTGGGTAGCCATATTTTCAAGTAAATTTATTGACTTTTTGAAGAGAATGTAACATAATTCATAAAATACAGTTATGTTACAAGTTTCTCTGCCACCCAACTGAGCTTTGCTTTTTTAAAAATTATGGTAAAGAATATATAACATAAAATTTACCATCCATTTTAGCCATCTTTAAGTGTACAGTTCAGTGGCATGAAGTACAATCACAGTGTTGTACAATCATCACCACCATCCTTCTCCAAAACTCTTCATCTTCCCTATCTGAAATTCAGTACCCATTAAACAATGACTCTTTTTTATTCTCCCCCCAGTCTCAGGTAACCACCATGTTACTTTGTGTTTCTATGAATTTGACAAATCTAAGCATCTCACATACGTGAATTTATGCAGTACTTTTCCCTTCTGTGACCAGCTTATTTCATTTATCATGTCTTTAGAGTTCATCTATGCTGCATCCGGTGCCAGAATGTTCTTTTTAAGGCTGAAAAATATCCTATGTATCTACGTCATTTTATTTATCAGTACATCTATCAATGGACACTTAGATTACTTCCCTTTGACTACTGTGTGTAATGTTAATTATGAACTTGGGTCCACAAATATCTGTTCAAGTCCTTGTTTTCTATCTTTTTGGAAATATAGTCAGAATTGCTGGACCATATGGTAATTCTATTTTTAATTTTCTGCTATATAGATTACTGTGTTCCATACCAGATTCACCATTTTACATTCCCACCATCAATACACAAGATTTCCACTTTCTCCACATCTTTGCCAACACATTATTTTCTTGGTGGTTCTTGTTGTTGTTGTCGTTGTTTTTAGTAATAGCCATCCCATTCTAACAGGTATAAAGTGCTATCTCTTTGGTTGTGATTGGCATTTACCTGATGATTACAAATTCTGAGCTTTTTTTCAAGTGTTTATTGGCTATTTGTTTATCTGCTTTGGAGAGAAATGTATATTCAAGTATTTTGTTTATTTTTGAATCAACTTTTTTTGTAGTTGAGTCATAGGAATTCTTTATATAATCTGGATATTAATTTCATATTAGATACATTATTTGCAATTATTTTTCATTCCTTAAATTTTTAATCTGTTGAGAATGTCCTTCGATAAACAGATGTTTTTAATTTTTATCAAGTACAATTTACCCATTTTTTTCTTTTGTGAGTTTTTGATGTTATATCCAACAAATAATTGCCAAATCCAGTGTCATGAATCTTTTCTGCTGTGTTTTCTTCTAAGAGCTGTAGACATTTAGCTCTTATGTTTAGGTCTTTAATTCATTTTGAGTTGGTTTTTGTATAAGTCACAAGGCAAGGGTCCAATTTCATTCATTTGCATGTAGTCATCCAGTTTTCCCAACATAATTTGTTTAGAAGAGTAATCTTTCTCCATTGCATGGCCTTGGCATTTGTGTTGAAAATAATGTGAACCTATATAGAAGGTTTTATTTCTGAGCTATATATTCTTTTTCATTGGTTTACATGCCTCTCATTATACCAGTACCACACTATTTTGATTACTGTCATTTCAAGGTGAATTTTACTTATTCTCAACTCATAGAGGAATCACTTCCATGATTTGGATTCTTACAGGTATCAACATATCATCCTCTCATCCAGAAGGACTGTAGTTTATGTCCTTTTGTTACCTTGGTGCTAAAATTCTGGAACTATCTGAGCTGCATAGACTGGCACCCTCAAAACCAACATTATTTTACTTCTTCATTTGTGGAATATGGATATTTTTATTTCCTTTTTCATAATTCAGTTGTTCTGCACATATTTTCCCCAGTATTTCTCAGTATTCAGAGTACATTTAGATCAACTTAGTTCACCACGTTGCTGGAAATTCCAGAGAATAACCATTATTTGAAGAAGTACAACAAAGAAAACTAAACAAAAAAAAAATTAGTAAGAGTTATTTGGCAATATAGAATATCTAAAAGCAAGTTTTAGTGGATAAGAAACAACAATTTACTGATGACACTTTCTCTATATACCTTAAATAAAATGTTACATAATTTTTAATGTCACAATATGCATATCAGGAAATGGAAAGTTATCACTAATTTTTATTCATGTAAGCACATTTTATTTCTATTTAAATTAAGCATTTCTCAAGCAGGTTGAAATCTGCTGTGAATTTTTGATGAAATAAATGGACTGTGCTTTGTTAATTTGTACCCCAGTTACTCCCAAAGTTTTAAGACTTACAAAAATAAAAACTTAATTTAGGGAATAATAATACCAGTGATATTTAAACTTTTTAAGATTAAATTTTAATTTTCACACATAAATTTAGTAAATTGAAATTGCAGTAGAATATTTGATCTGGCAAAGAACATCATTGGAGCTCAATAAATTTCAAAGCTCATATTTATGGTATCCGACTTTGGAAAGTCAAATACGAAAATAAAATGTGATATTTCATTTTCAGTTTCCCCAGGTAAGGTATGTGGTATCTAAGATTATACAAAATTCTCCTAACATTTATAAACAAAAATGTCTATTTTGGCAAGCTACATGCATCATTAGTGCTGTCTGTACCAACCAAGAAAATATTTTAAAATCATATATCAATAAAGACTAGATGAAACGGTATAGATACAGTCTTCCAAAAAGTTATCAGTATTTCCAGGGGTAGTAGAATTTCTAACTGAAGAGAAAATGCAGTGATCTGTCATTCTAATGGCTGGTACTCAAGGGCACATTCACACATCCCTTTCACTGATAGATTGCATAATGCCTACCTACAATCTTTTCTTTCATAGAGACAGATCTACAAAAAAGAAAAAAAGTTTTATGTGTTAAAATTAAGGGTGAAATGGTATATTTAAAAATATTTTTCAAAAAATAAAATAGAAAACAATAGTAACATATTTTATATATTTGTTTGTTTACTTTTATTAGTTTTTTTCCTTTAAACCTATTTCACATATACTCTGGAGTCCTTCCTGCTAGCACTTTCTTATGTTCAAGGAATACTGGTAAGGTATTTTGAAATTAAGTTCAGAGAATCACTTTTATTGACAATAGGCTGATATTCCAATTGACAGGCATTTTTTTCTGGTTGTAAGAAAGTTAAATTATAATTGTTTTCATCTACATTATTGCTTGGGGAACCATTTGAAATGTAAAACTGTTCTTTATTCCTTTTTTTCAGATTCCAGATAACAGCATATCTATGAGATTTAGAATGTGTAAACATTTCAGAATGTTATCTTTCAAAAATGATCCTATCCTTTATATTCCTGATAGATAAATTCTACAATTTACTCCCATTGTTCTGCTGTGTGATGATTTTACTTCTCCCTTTGGGGATAAATATAAAACCTGAAAGGAAACACTGACGCTTAATTTTAACACATAAAACTTATTTAAGAGGAAAGAGTGATTCCTACAATTTTCACAAAATTCCATCTTAAAATATGTATCACTTAATTGCAGTTGGTAAACAGTGAAATAACAATAAATAATGCTCATGAATGAATAACATGATCTTCATTTCATGATTTGTTTAAACCTCAAACATATATGACTTCATTGATTTCTTGTTAACACTTTAACCTTGTTATTTCTATGGGCCACAGATCTCAGATATACAGGATGATTTATCTAAATAAAGAAGGCTTTTATAATAGATAAATAGTGATAATATATTCAAACAGAATGATTTAAAAAAAAACGTGATTACTATCTTGATATGGTTTGGCTGTGTCACCAACTAAAATCCCATCTTGAATTGTAATCCAAATTGTAATCCCCCTGTATTGGGGGAGGGACCTCATGGGAGGTAATTAGATCATGGAGGTGGTTCCTCCATGCAGTTCTCATGATAGTGAGTTCTCACAGTATCTGATAGTTTTATAAGGGGCTTTCCCCCTTTGTTCTGCACTTCTCTCTCCTGCCACCATGTGAAGAAGAACATGTTTGCTTCCCCTTCCACCATGATTGTAAGCTTCCTGAGCACCACTCACCACCCAGCAATGTGGAACTGTGAGTTAGCTAAACCCCTTTACTTTATAAATTACCCAGTCTCAGGCAGTTCTTTTTAGCAGCGTGGGTCACATATTCCTGAAGAGAGTTGTGAAGGCAAAACCCATGAACGGACTGTTTGGTTTGCTGGAAGATAAAGCATCTAACATGATGAAATAGAGAAAAACAGCTTTATTTTTTTTTCTGTATCACTGAAAATAAAGACCATGGTTTATATTTTCAATGGCCACTCTCACTAAATTTGTTTATATTTTACAGAGGCAAAAATCTGCAGCCATAACTCTTGATTTCCAGGGATTTGCCTTTGGGGTGTCAGCAACATTTAAGACAAATAAATAAATCTTATCATACAAATTTGTGGAGCATAAAGGTTATGTAGCTCTTTCTGTATGTCTTTTAAAGCTTGACAGAAGGTAATTTAGATTATACCTTGCTACTTAAGAATCATTTTTCTTCATTTACATTTTATCTCATTTCTACCATTCTGTCTCAGAACTGATCACCATAAGTACCTTGTAATGCGTTTTGACACCTAGAGGGAAAAAAAGGATAGAAAATGTCGGGGTGCTAATACAGATATAAATTCTACAAAAGGTGCCATTTTAAATTGACATGACAGAGGCAGTATGAGATTTTTATTTTTATTTTTTGAATTGTCTTATATAGGGACTTCAAATGAAAATACAGTGAGTAGGGTGAAATGTCAACAAAGCCTCAACTTTTAGAGATCATTTTTTTCTATATTAAATTGACTACCTATTATGAAAACTTCAATAGTTTCTAAAGTTATTATTTTCTAAGACTATAAGCCTAAGAAAACAATACTACCTTTTTAGGAAAGATCATATATCAAGTGCATAAATGCTTTGATGCCTCCAATGTTATGGGTCAGATCATTCCTTCTTTGTGAATCTCTAACTCTTGAAATAATATGTTTATCCTTTTATTGAACCACACATTTGTCTCTGCAACTTTTACCCATTGTTTCTGCTGAAATACACAAGACCAAAATGGAGTCGTTTTCATGAAACAGCCTCTCAAATATTTGGAGAGAATTATCAAAGCCTCTGGCTTAATCTCTCACTAAACGAAACATCCTGTTTTTCCTCAGTTATTCGTTTGACATAAACTCCAGCCTCTCATCACTTTGGTCTTTATCCTCTCAACAAAACCCTAAACTATCCTCAATCCTTCCAATTTCTAGACTGGAATACAATATGAAGTTTTATTGTAGCCTTCTTCACCTACATTACTCTATGTGTAATACTATTTTCTTGGTAAGTTTTTGGTCAAGTTCAGTACAGCATCATGTAATCTCAGCTACAAAATATACATTTCCCAGAATAAATCCTATCATTAGAATTTTTTTGCTTTCTTTACAGCAATTGTATTTTTCTGATGTCATCATTTCTGGAAAAAAATTAAAATGAATATTTTCAAATGTACCATAAGGAAAACAGAGCCTGGCTCTTTAAGGCAAAAGATGTAAGGGGCATGGAAAAAAAAAAAAAGTCATAGGATTTAGTTTTTCAGAGGCAGAGGGTGGGGGGAGAGGAGCCAAAATCATTTTAAAGAGGTAAGATTACATACCTTTGTAATAGTCTATTGGGTTACAGAACCAAGGGTCTTTTACTCAACTAGAGCAGATCTTTCTTAGTACTTTTTTTTTTTTTTTTTTTTTGAGACAGATTCTTGCTCTGTCACCCAGGCTGGAGTGCAGTGGCACAATCTCGGCTAGCTGCAAGCTCCGCCTCCCGGGTTCACGCCATTCTCCTGCCTCAGCCTCCCAAGTAGCTGGGACTACAGGCGCCCGCCACCAGGCCCGCCTAATTTTTTGTATTTTTAGTAGAGACGGGGTTTCACTGTGTTAGTCAGGATGGTCTCCATCTCCTGGCCTCGTGATCCGCCCGCGTCAGCCTCCCAAAGTGCTGGGATTACAGGCGTGAGCCACCGCGCCTGGCCTACTTTTTGGGGTTTTAATTTAATGCAAGAAGAAGGAGAAGGGGAAGGGGAAGGGGAAGGGGAAGGGGAGGGGGAAGGGGAGGGGGAAGGGGAGGGGGAAGGGGAGGGGGAAGGAGAGGGGTAAGGGGAGGGGAAAGGGGAGAGGGAAAGGGGAGGAGGACTACCAGATAAAACTGGAACATGAAAAAAGAACATTAGACTTATGGTATAAAGTTATAGATTCATATCTGGATATTGTAATTAATTTTCTCAGAAAACACCAATAAACACAGGAAATCCTGTTCACCCCATCTTTCTCAAATTCAAAGCCTCAGAACCTTGCATTAAACCCTTTTCTTGACCAGATTTTGAAATGCTTGTCCTGAACAGATGTCAACCCCAAAACCCCATGTGGTAAATACTAGTAATGAAATAATATAGCTGTTGTAATAATTTAATATACTTAATTCTCATAACATTTTGATAATCACAAAGTAAAATATTTTTAAATTCAAATACGCCACATGATTGATAATTTACAGTAGCTTTCTATATTGAAGGCAAATTTCTAAAAGCAGTGAGGAAAAATGTTACTGTGCCCAGGGAGAGGATTTCATTAAATTGGAATATGATATCGAAAGTCTATAAGTCATCATTTACTCTTATAAATTTAAGTTGTATGCTTGCATGCTAAATGATTGAAAAAAAATGAGAAGGCCAATTACGAAGTATATGTTTGTTTGTGGGCATAAAAGACCACTTGGGTTATGCTAATTTAATTAATCATCACCTGAAAGAGACACAGTGCCCTGGTACTTAATGTACTGGAAAAATACACATAGCACTTTGACACTATTTTGTACTACTGATAAGTAATATTGTACTCTGACATTGTATTAATAAGTCATTAAGACAGATTCCAACAGGGATATAAGATCATACTTTCTAGCTTTAATTTTAAAATAAGAATTAATTCCCAGGGTAGAATAAGTCTTTATGATTTGAATTTTCTATCACTCTCTCTACTTTAGTAGTCTTTGATAAAACTGATGGATGAAAATTTGTATTTTAAGAAACCAGTACAATAGTGAAGAGAATTAGAAATAAAATATTGAATTCATTGCTATCAGTTTCACTTATGTGATTCAATTATGTAATTTATTCACTTATATTTTTATGAACTTGACAGACTTCTGATGACTTCCCTTAGCTAAGAAGATAAAAGAAGTAATTGCTTTGCTTCACTGTCTTGGCTGAAGGGTGAAAAAGCCAAAACCCAATTTATCTAATAATTGCCACATTTGTGAAAAACAGCTTCAAAACGTTGATATGTTTTATTATGGTCTCCTGGAAAGTGTCTCTTGTCAAATTTTTATGCTGATATGGCTCATAATATAGTCCTCTCACTCTTGTATTTTCTCTTGCAATTACAAGGTTTCTTATTCCATTGTGAATATTCCTCTGAACTAAGATTAGCTTCACTGAACTTCCTTTGAAAACCTGCCTACCCATCAAAAGTGTCAGACCTAATGCATTCAGTAGCCACAGAAAATCAATGAACAGCACACTTTTCTGCTTCCTGCAATGATCAATAGGATTCATATAATGTGTGGAAAATTTTTAATCGTGACAACACAGAACCTTCTTAGCATAAATCTCCCTTGCATTATACCAACTCCATTTCCCACTTCTTGAATTTGCAGGCATTGAGTAATATCTATATAGAAGATACATTACACAAAGTAACACAATTAGGACTTCACACTTCAATTATAATAAGTTTAGATCCCAAAGGACCATTTTCTAAGCAATGTGAAGTCTCTATTTTGCATTTGAAATCCACAAATTGAAGATACTCTGTATGAATGTGAGAACTTATTTAAATGCAACTTTATTCAAATTTGTATACTGAGGGAACATAGATTGTTTTGATGTTTTTCTAAATTAAAGTTATCAAGTCTAATTTGAGGTTTTTCAAATGGAAATTATTGTTATTTTTTAAAGAACATATGCCTCAGAGATGAAGAATCAAAGGATTCTTAAAGTTGTAATTGCAATAGTGAGGCTTGAGGAAATAAAGAGAAAAGAAGCTCCACAAACAGTCAGAGGTAAACAAAATTGCTTAGAATTTAGATTTTCTGACATGAATTTATTTTTCATAAATCTATCTGTTAATTGGTAATTAATTCATCCCCTAAACCACAATCAATTTCCTATGGCTTGATATGGGCTCTGATAGCTGTGTTAGGTGCTAGACATACAGAAACAAAGACAGTTGCTGCCTTTGAAAAGTTCATAGTATACTTACATGTAACTGGAGAATTCCAATTTAGTGAAGCCAGAATAAGTGTGTGTGTGTGTGTGTGAACCACATATCAAACAAGCTAAATAAAAACGTGGTTTTGGGGGAGAAGCCAAGATGGCCCAATAGGAACAGCTCCGGTCTACAGCTCCCAGCATGAGCGATGCAGAAGATGGTTGATTTCTGCATTTCCATCTGAGGTACCGGGTTCATCTCACTAGGGAGTGCCAGACAGTGGGGGCAGGTCAGTGGGTGAGTGCACTGTATGCGAGCCGAAGCAGGGTGAGGCATTGCCTCACTCGGGAAGCACAAGGGGTCAGGGAGTTCCCTTTCCTAGTCAAAGAAACGGGTGACAGATGGCACCTGGAAAATCGGGTCACTCCCACCCGAATACTGCGCTTTTCCGACGGGCTTAAAAAACGGCGCACCAGGAGATTATATCCCCCACCTGGCTGTGAGGGTCCTATGCCCACGGAGCCTCCCTCATTGCTAGCACAGCAGTCTGAAATCAAACTGCAAGGCAGCAGCGAGGCTGGGGGAGGGGCGCCCGCCATTGCCCAGGCTTGCTTAGGTAAACAAAGCAGCCAGGAAGCTCCAACTGGGTGGAGACCACCACGGCTCAAGGAGGCCTGCCTGCCTCTGTAGGCTCCACCTCTGGGGGCAGGGCACAGACAAACAAAAAGACAGCAGTAACCTCTGCAGACTTAAATGTCCCTGTCTGACAGCTTTGAAGAGAGCAGTGGTTCTCCCAGCACGCAGCTGGAGATCTGAGAATGGGCAGACTGCCTCCTCAAGTGGGTACCTGACCCCTGACCCCCTAGCAGCCTAACTGGGAGGCACCCCCCAGCAGGGGCAGACTGACACCTCACACAGCTGGGTACTCCAATAGACCTGCAGCTGAGGGTCCTGTCTGTTAGAAGGAAAACTAACAAACAGAAAGGACATCCACACCAAAAACCCATCTGTACATCACCTTCATCAAAGACCAAAAGTAGATAAAACCACAAAGATGGGGAAAAAACAGAGCAGAAAAACTGGAAACTCTAAAAAGCACAGCGCCTCTCCTCCTCCAAAGGAATGCAGTTCCTCACCAGCAACGGAACAAAGCTGGACAGAGAATGACTTTGACGAGTTGAGAGAAGAAGGCTTCAGACGATCAAATTACTCCAAGCTATGGGAGGACATTCAAACCAAAGGCAAAGAAGTTGAAAACTTTGAAAAAAATTTAGCAGAATGTATAACTAGAATAACCAATACAGAGAAGTGCTTAAAGGAGCTGATGGAGGTGGAATCCAAGGCTCGAGAACTACATGAAGAATGCAGAAGCCTCAGGAGCCGATGTGATCAACCGGAAGAAAGGGTATCAGCGATGGAAGATGAAATGAATGAAATGAAGCAAGAAGGGAACTTTAGAGAAAAAAGAATAAAAAGAAACGAGCAAAGCCTCCAAGAAATATGGGACTATGTGAAAAGACCAAATCTACGTCTGATTGGTGTACCTGAAAGTGACGGGGAGAATGGAACCAAGTTGGAAAACACTCTGCAGGATATTATCCAGGAGAACTTCCCCAATCTAGCAAGGCAGGCCAACATTCAGATTCAGGAAATACAGAGAACGCCACAAAGATACTCCTCGAGAAGAGCAACACCAAGACACATAATTGTCAGATTCACTAAAGTTGAAATGAAGGAAAAAATGTTAAGGGCAGCCAGAGAGAAAGGTCGGGTTACCCTCAAAGGGAAGCCCATCAGACTAACAGCAGATCTCTTGGCAGAAACTCTACAAGCCAGAAGAGAGTGGGGGGCCAATATTCAACATTCTTAAAGAAAAGAATTTTCAACACAGAATTTCATATCCAGCCAAACTAAGCTTCATAAGTGAAGGAGAAATAAAATACTTTACAGACAAGCAAATGCTGAGAGATTTTGTCACGACCAGGCCTGCCCTAAAAGAGCTCCTGAAGGAAGCGCTAAACATGGAAAGGAACAACCGGTACCAGCCGCTGCAAAATCATGCCAAAATGTAAAGACTATTGAGACTAGGAATAAACTGCATCATCTAACGAGCAAAATAACCAGCTAACATCATAATGACAGGATCAAATCCACACATAACATATTAACTTTAAATGTAAATGGACTAAATGCTCCAATTAAAAGATACAGACTGGCAAATTGGATAAAGAGTCAAGACCCATCAATGTGCTATATTCAGGAAACCCATCCCACAGGCAGAGACACACATAGGCTCAAAATAAAAGGACGGAAGAAGATCTACCAAGCAAATGGAAAAGAAAAAAAGGCAGGGGTTGCAATCCTAGTCTCTGATAAAACAGACTTTAAACCAACAAAGATCAAAAGAGACAAAGAAGGCCATTACTTAATGGTAAAGGGATCAATTCAACAAGAAGAGCTAACTATCCTAAATATATATGCACCCAATACAGGAGCACCCAGATTCATAAAGCAAGTCCTGAGTGACCTACAAAGAGACTTAGACTCCCACACATTAATAATGGGAGACTTTAACACCCCACGGTCAACATAGGACAGATCAACGAGACAGAAAGTCAACAAGGATACCTAGGAATTGAACTCAGCTCTGCAACAAACGGACCTAATAGACATCTACAGAACTCTCCACCCCAAATGAACAGAATATACATTTTTTTCAGCACCACACCACACCTATTCCAAAATTGACCACATACTTGCAAGTAAAGCTTTTCTCAGCAAATGCAAAAGAACAGAAATTATAACAAACTATCTTTCAGACCACAGTGCAATCAAACTAGAACTCAGGAATAAGAATCTCACTCAAAACCGCTCAACTACATGGAAACTGAACAACCTGCTCCTGAATGACTACTGGGTACATAACGAAATGAAGGCAGAAATAAAGATGTTCTTTGAAAGCAAAGAGAACAAAGACACAACATACCAGAATCTCTGGGATGCATTCAAAGCAGTGTGTAGAGGGAAATTTATAGCACCAAATGCCCACAAGAGAAAGCAGGAAAGATCCAAAATTGACACCCTAACATCACAATTAAAAGAATTAGAAAAGCAAGAGCAAACACATTCAAAAGATAGCAGAAGGCAAGAAATAACTAAAATCAGAGCAGAACTGAAGGAAATAGAGATACAAAAAACCCTTCAAAAAATTAACAAATCCAGGAGCTGGTTTTTTGGAAGGATCAACAAAATTGATAGACTGCTAGCAAGACTAATAAAGAAAAAAAGAGAGAAGAATCAAATAGACGCAATAAAAAATGATAAAGGGGATATCACCACCGATCCCACAGAAATACAAACTACCATCAGAGAATACTACAAACACCTCTATGCAAATAAACTAGAAAATCTAGAAGAAATGGATAAATTCCTCGACACATACACTCTCCCAAGACTAAACCAGGAAGAAGTTGAATCTCTGAATAGACCAATAACAGGAGCTGAAATTGTGGCAATAATCAATAGCTTACCAACGAAAAAGAGTTCAGGACCAGACGGATTCACAGCCGAATTCTACCAGAGGTACAAGGAGGAATTGGTACCATTCCTTCTGAAACTATTCCAATCAATAGAAAAAGAGGGAATCCTCCCTAACTCATTTTATGAGGCCAGCATCATCCTGATACCAAAGCCCGGCAGAGACACAACCAAAAAAGAGAATTTTAGACCAATATCCTTGATGAACATTGATGCGAAAATCCTCAATAAAATACTGGCAAAACGAATCCAGCAGCACATCCAAAAGCTTATCCACCATGATCAAGTGGGCTTCATCCCTGGGATGCAAGGCTGGTTCAATATACGCAAATCAATAAATGTAATCCAGCATATAAACAGAGCCAAAGACAAAAACCACATGATTATTTCAATACATGCAGAAAAAGCCTTTGACAAAATTCAACAACCCTTCATGCTAAAAACTCTCAATAAATTAGGTATTGATGGGACGTATTTCAAAATAATAAGAGCTATCTATGACAAACCCACAGCCAATATCATACTGAATGGGCAAAAACTGGAAGCATTCCCTTTGAAAACTGGCACAAGACAGGGATGCCCTCTCTCACCGCTACTATTCAACATAGTGTTGGAAGTTCTGGCCAGGGCAATCAGGCAGGAGAAGGAAATAAAGGGTATTCAATTAGGAAAAGAGGAAGTCAAATTGTCCCTGTTTGCAGACGACATGATTGTTTATCTAGAAAACCCCATCGTCTCAGCCCAAAATCTCCTTAAGCTGATAAGCAACTTCAGCAAAGTCTCAGGATACAAAATCAATATACAAAAATCACAAGCATTCTTATACACCAACAACAGACAAACAGAGAGCCAAATCATGAGTGAACTCCCATTCACAATTGCTTCAAAGAGAATAAAATACCTAGGAATCCAACTTACAAGGGATGTGAAGGACCTCTTCAAGGAGAACTACAAACCATTGCTCAACGAAATAAAAGAGGATACAAACAAATGGAAGAACATTCCATGCTCATGGGTAGGAAGAATCAATATCGTGAAAATGGCCATACTGCCCAAGGTAACTTACAGATTCAGTGCCATCCCCATCAAGCTACCAATGACTTTCTTCACAGAATTGGAAAAAACTACTTTAAAGTTCATATGGAACCAAAAAAGAGCCCAAGTCGCCAAGTCAATCCTGTGCCAAAAGAACAAAGCTGGAGGCATCACACTACCTGACTTCAAACTATACTACAAGGCTACAGTAACCAAAACAGCATGGTACTGGTACCAAAACAGAGATATAGATCAATGGAACAGAACAGAGCCCTCAGAAATAATGCCGCATATCTGCAACTATCTGATCTTTGACAAACCTGAGAAAAACAAGCAATGGGGAAAGGATTCCCTATTTAATAAATGGTGCTGGGAAAACTGGCTAGCCATATGTAGAAAGCTGAAACTGGATCCCTTCCTTACACCTTATACAAAAATCAATTCAAGGTGGATTAAAGACTTAAATGTTAGACCTAAAACCATAAAAACCCTAGAAGAAAATCTAGGCAATACCATTCAGGACATAGGCATGGGCAAGGACTTCATGTCTAAAACACCGAAAGCAATGGCAGCAAAAGCCAAAATTGACAAATGGGATCTAATTAAACTAAAGAGCTTCTGCACAGCAAAAGAAACTACCATCAGAGTGAACAGGCAACCTACAAAGTGGGAGAAAATTTTCGCAACCTACTCATCTGACAGAGGGTTAATATCCAGAATCTACAATGAACTCAAACAAATTTACAAGAAAAAAACAAATAACCCCATCAAAAAGTGGGCAAAGGACATGAACAGACACTTCTCAAAAGAAGACATTTATGCAGCCAAAAAACACATGAAAAAATGCTCACCATCACTGGCCATCAGAGAAATGTAAATCAAAACCACAATGAAATACCATTTCACACCAGTTAGAATGACAATCATTAAAAAGTCAGGAAACAACAGGTGCTGGAGAGGATGTGGAGAAATAGGAACACTTTTACACTGTTGGTGGGACTGTAAATTAGTTCAACCATCGTGGATGTCAGTGTGGCGATTCCTCAGGGATC
Source organism: Homo sapiens (assembly GCF_000001405.40). NCBI lineage: Eukaryota > Metazoa > Chordata > Mammalia > Primates > Hominidae > Homo > Homo sapiens. The sequence continues at coordinate 193,705,457 of NC_000002.12, read as the reverse complement.
TAGAACTAGAAATACCATTTGACCCAGCCATCCCATTACTGGGTCTATACCCAAAGGATTATAAATCATGCTGCTATAAAGACACATGTACACATATGTTTATTGTGGCACTATTCACAACAGCAAAGACTTGGAACCAACCCAAATGTCCAACAATGATAGACTGGATTAAGAAAATGTGGCACATATACACCATGGAATACTATGCAGCCATAAAAAACGATGAGTTAACGTCCTTTGTAGGGACATGGATGAAATTGGAAATCATCATTCTCAGTAAACTATCGCAAGAACAGAAAACCAAACACCGCATATTCTCACTCATAGGTGGGCATTGAACAATGAGAACACATGGACACAGAAAGGGGAACATCACACTCTGGGGACTGGTGTGGGGTAGGGGGAAGGGGGAGGGATAGCATTGGGAGATATACGTAATGCTAGATGACAAGTTAGTGGGTTCAGCGCAACCAGCATGGCACATGTATACATAGGTAACTAACCTGCACATTGTGCACATGTACCCTAAAACTTAAAGTATAATAATAAATAAATAAATAAATAAATAAAAGTAAATAAATAAAAAAATTAAAAAGTGGTTTTAAAACTATTTGAAACTATTTTTCAAGAGAATTAAGAAATCATATTTGTTGATGTATTACATATAACAGTTGTTTAATGAGTAAAACGACAGACCAATATGTTATTCATCTTTGTAGCCAGCGCTTGCACTGTGTACAATACATTGTGTGTTTTCATGTGTGTGTAGGTGTGTGTGTTTTTCTGTCTGTGTGCTGGCTCCACACTTTCTTCTCTTTTATACTTAATCTTCTTCCCTAATTTTGCTAGATCATAACATAATCACTAAATTGTAATATATTTCATTTTTCATAATTTTCTATTCTAATTTCCTAATCATAAAAACAATCACTCCCAAATAGTTAAACTACTGCTTTTCTCCTAAAGGCTGAATTTATAAAGCATCCTATGCTATTGTCTTAGATTTTAGAAATAACTGTTCATATTATTCTTTTAGTTCATATCTTAGATTATAAAGATTTTTCTTGATCAACATATATTATGTCAGTATCTAATGCAATCATACACATAGGAACAATCAATAGATAGCATATATAATTGACTGTATAAGAGCTTTTAAATTTATATTTAATTTTAATATGCACATGATAATCAGCACAACATCCTTTAGGATATATTTAATGGTAATGATTACCTTTAGTGCAATAAGTGTACTAAATGTGTGATTTCACTTATGTGTACATATAGATTACATAAAGATTTATATCACCATAAATTTTTTATTATATTTGTTAAGATATAAAATTTTTGATAGCTTCCCATTGATATTAAGATAATACCCCAATTTTTTTAATAGCAAACATTCAAAGGTAGACGGTTAGTATAGGGATTCCATTGCATGACTATTGCGCAAATTCACATTTCATACTCTGTCTTCATGACAAATTATTACTTGCCTTTAGATAATATTTTATAAATACATTTATTTATGTAGTTGTAAAATTACTGTGTAATTGTAGTGTCTCCTATTAGAATATATGATCTATAAGAGAATGCCTATTTTGTAATAGTAATTATATATTTGGTTAGTAATTTATTAATGTTCTCAATATAATGTCCTAATTTTGTTACATGTAAAGCTCTATCAATTGTATCAGCTAGATATTGTATTGATATTTATTCATTTGTTTTGTACTATTATGAAAACTTTCATCTAACATATGACTCAGATACCTAAGTCATGTGAATATCTCATAATAAAGTCATCTACCAAGAATTTAGCAAAATATTCTATATAAGCAATTTTTTTAACACTCACGCCATCTTTTCACCCTAACATAGAGTTAGTCAGGGGTTTTGATGAGATGGCAGATGATTAACGTAACAAGTTTTTTTTTTTCAGTCTTATTTGTGAGAAAGTTAGAACAAAAATTACTGCCTCTAATCAGAATAAATCACATTTAAAATATGGCCAAATACAGTCTCTCTTGCCTTATGTCTCCTCAAGTTTTCTTCTGTCACTGGTACCGAACAATCTTTATAGGGCAACATTCATCAGTGCTGTCTACTCAGCATCCAAAGGGGTAGGAACAGCATCAGCAACCTCTGAGCAACATGCACACCTTGGTTTCTAATCCTAGATTATTATGTAAAACACTGTTTTGAGGTTGAATTCTAGAGCAACTCCAAGAGTTTTGCAAATCTATTGTTAATAGTAAAGATGAAAAATATTCCTTTTACTACTCCTCATAGTACATATCTTGTCATCTAGACATTTGGATATCTTACGCTTTCCATGAATTATGGAGCCATAGACTTTGGCCTTTTCCTATAATGCATCTAATTCACTAGTTATGCAATTCCCTTTTCTTTTTATGGCCTCAGTAACCTGTGGGGATAGAAAGAATTGCCAACAAATTTGAATGTGAAATATTTGAAAGGTCAAAGCTGTAAAAAACTCTACTTAATTTTTAAGAATATTTTAGGTACTAAATTCTGTTACTAGTGAATATTAAAATGCTAAAAATAATAAAAGTAGTTAATTCTTGTCCTAACAATTTAAATGACGAGTAATCGATGAGTGTCTTACTCTTCTAAATCTGCACATTTTCATTCAGCTATAAAAATGCTTTAAGGACATTCTTTCCTGTTAATATCTGTTCCCATTTCTAATCTACTCCTATTATCTCATAATTGAATGAGGAATAATTCTGTAAATTCCTTTTTAGCTGCACTTCTTATTTGAGAAGACAATAAGAAAATTTTTTAAAACTGTTTAACCTTGGATCTTTTTTTCGCTTTCAATGGCTTTATCTGCAAAACTAGCACTTTTAAATAAGTTATCTCCAATACCCTTTCCAACTCTGAAATTCTAAACATCTTGGTATGGTTTTATATCTCTACCTGTATTTGAAGATAATATGCACCAACACTGTAGAACCATCTTATATTTATCCCTTCTCCTTGAGAGCAGACTTCTTGTGCCTTCAAAGGTGTGATTTCTCCAATCTAATAAATTAATCTAAGGACAGAGATAAATGAATGTAGGGTAGACTACTTATATGACAACAATTTTTGTTCATCATGATTTTGATTTCCTAAATAAAGTAAAACCACCTTTATTTTTCAGTCATTTTAAATAGCTCTACTGTTGTTTATTTAATGCCTTGAAGGAAGTACAACGTAAGGAAATATATTTGTTACATATGAGGGATTCCGAGAAAATTCTGTAAATCTCATTACATGGCATTCCATCACTATTCTCCCCAGGCAGTTTGATTTTATGCCCTATTATAGATCAGTTGGCATCTGACAATTATTTGGCTCTCTGAATCACCAAAAGTATCCCTATTTAGAAAACAAATAATATGATATCTACCCATTACTTCATTTCTATATAATCTTGTTTACAATTTTGGGGGACCATAACAAGAGACTAAGATCACAAAATTAATCTCTCAGCAAAATGTATGACAGAGCAAATTTCTATTTTTAAACGTTTTAGTCACAAAAGTAGAAAATATTTTTTTCATACAAATCGGTTTCCTTATATTTCATATCAATATATACATTATATATTACCTATTTCGATATTCTGATGACGGGGAAAAAAAACCTCCAGCCAGCTGCCAAGGACTGAAACACAGAAGGGAGGAAACCAAACCTAGTACTAAGGTTTTGTTAGTAAGGAAGGAAACAAAACCTTACCAACAGAATGTGTGAAATAATCAAAGAGAACCAAAAAACAAACAAAACCATTTTACATGATGGCTGAGTAAAACAGAGTGGTTGAGAGATCCTTTGTTTGTGTCCTGTATCTTAAAGTGAAAGAGAAAGATACATGCATTTATTAACCCTGGTTATTCTGTCCAATAATTTACCTATTTCTTTAGCCTGATTCTTGAGAAGCTCACCTCTAAGTATGCCCTATGTATGCTATCTTACTTTGACTCTACGACCCAAAAACTGATGTTTTGTTGCCACAGAATTTTCTGGAAAAATATGTCAACACCTATAATTTGCAAATATGTATATTGCATATATGTTTTAATGAGGTAAGTTTTGGGGTAAAAAATGAGTATAGAAAAAAGAAAAAGGAATCACCATTCTATGTCTAACTTTAAAATGTATATATTTCCTGTCAGATAAGTCATTATATGAGCTTAGCTGAATTATTTTCTTACATGAATTTCAACACACATTAATAGTTTCATAGTAATAGAGGATGCATATGTTTCACATTGATCAATCTGCTGGCTATTAATCTAATGAAAAGCACTATTTCCTTCCTTGCAAAATTGTTTCCTGTGGATGTCTATAGTCTCCTAATGGCTAATACTCTCCAACAGCTACATTTTCTCAATCATTCAACCTCTCTATACAGATTTAGAACTTTATCAAAGCATAATTTTAGAAATAATCCTGTGATCTCATTATTTAAATAGTCTTTGAATCTTTGTTTTGCCAACCATATGTTACATAACGTTTTAAAAGCAGGTATTGTTAAACCTGTGTTATATATACATTTTCCCCCAGGACATTGTCAGTTATCATGAATCTGTGGGATTCTAAGTGAAATGTAAAACAATAGTTTGAAAGCTATTATACATATATTTTATTTTTTTCAGATGCTAGCCAATGGGAAAAAAAACTGAAATAATTGAAATGTGAAACTCCTGGGAAAATAATAATACAATGTCCTCTTTTAAAATGCCTCAAATGCAGCTCCTAGTTTAGAACTGAATATGAACAAGGACTCAGAGCAAATATTACATGGAACTTATTCTCTAATAGAATGGTATGTAGTACCACGAATAACCCAGGGCAAGAGGTGCTATGAGTATTTTGAAAACACGTGTACCTCCTAACACTTCTTCTGTTGACAACTGTCTTAAGAATATGTGTCCCAAATTAAGAGGAGGTGTTTGTATAAGTGCTAGAAAAAGAAGGAAAATAGGAATGACTAATAAGAGTGAAATACCAATTCTACTCAGTCTGTCCTTCTTATTGCACTCGTTAAACTTCTGTGCACATGGATTGCTGAGATCTGCTTGAATCTAAATGCTCAATTTTAATTGATATTTTCAAATCCCAGTATATGTTCCACCGACATCTCATTACAATTTGATTCTCCTTCTCATATTTCTCAAAATAAGACAGCCCACGTTTTAATTTTTCAACCCCTAGACACCAGAGTCTTTAATTTTGTGCCACGCTCATTGCAGAGGCAGAATCAGCCACCTGGTCCCAGAATCCTAGTTTCACCCTGGTCATTCCAGGCCTTAATCATACTCTCTCCAGAAGTCCTTAATTAGGTACTAAATGCTCCCTCCAAGGAATTGTGTCTTATATTATTATCATCCATTTATTTGGTGGGAATTATTTTTTCAGAAAATCATAAGAAAATGAGGTCTTTGTATTTTTTTTCTAATTTGGTCTCACAGTGTATCAGTGGAGAGTGGCTATGAACTTCAGCCCTGCCATGATGGGGCTCTGGGGGATTTGGTCATGGATGTTTTCAATTTTCAGGAGATACATTTTTTTTCCTGGTGGGCAGTTTAATGCCTAGGCATCTGACTCAAGTCCAGGTGTCCTTCTCATGGGAAACTTGTGTATACTGGCAGTCACCTTTGTTTCTCTTGTCTGATCTGTGTCCTGTTTACTTTTATCAGAATAACCACTCTCTACAAGAGCCTTGTCTGCAAGAGAAGTTAGGCTTGAGTGTGCTGGTCAGGTGAGACACAGAGGAGGCATACAAAAAATGAAATAACATAGGCAGTTTTTTACCTACATATTCTAAAAAGAAGAGGGCTTTATGCCTCACAGGACTGACAGGAAAAGGGGAGTCATCTGGCACAGGCATGGTCAAGAAGCAAGTGGCAAGTGGAGAGAAAGAGAAAGAGAAAGACAGAAAGAGAGAGGGATCTGTTAGCCATCAAAGCCTTTATTGGGGTCCAGGGAATTAACCTAAGCAGGTCTTTTTGTTGTTGCTGTTGTTTTATTTTGTTTTTTTTGGGGGGGGAGGGGTTTCTACCGGGTGGGTTTTGAGCAGCAGGTTGAGTTCCACAGAGTCATGCTGTAATTAAGAGGTGGTTACAGCAACATATATGTGCAATCTATGAGAGGAGTGGGATCAGTGGGGCAAGTCAAATAAATTATAAATAAATCATAGCTAGCAGTTCCACAGGAAGGTGATCACCAGGAGGTGGTTGTATAAGGCAAATAGTTGGATTGACCACACTGAGAAACTGGAAGGAGGTGGGGAACTAGAAATTGTCCAGGGTGACTAAGCCCGGCTTCTGTTATGAGAAAGTTAAACCTGTATTTTACATGAATGCTGAGACAACATTCAACTTTAGGAATTTACTAGAGAACATTATATCATATATGCTTTGTGACAGAAAATCAGATAGAGTAGGAGATATCTTAATGAAATTAAAATCAGGTTTTAACATAAGAAGAGAACTCTAAAGAGTGCAGGACAGTACTGGGTACCTATAAGGGAAATATATATCAGAAGATATTAAATATGTTGACATTGGTCCTAGAGGATTATTTCTAGCTGTAGTCATTTGAAAAAGACATCCATTTTTTCTGACCCCAGAATAAAATTAGTAAGCAGAAATTGTAAGAGAGAATGGTATAATTTTTTGAGGTTTACTTGGTATTTATTATTTATATCCTTTTTACTCCACTGCCACCTTTGTTCCCTTTTCCTTCAGCCACCCCCTCAGCAGGTGAAGGTCTCTATTCAGGGGATACTCAAATCTGCATTTGGGAAGGGTATGAACCTTAGGGAGATCCTTATTTTATTGGTTCCCATGGTCTTCCTTTGACTTTTACCACTTGACATGGCACAATAACAGGCCACTTCACAAGATTTCTGGGTTGGAAAAATATCCTTCCATCAACTGCATAATCTAACAGGAAGTCCAGTTCCCCATTATAATCAGTCTAATATTCCCAGTCACTGTGGTAATGTCCTTTTTGACTGTTTATTCAGGGACATAAGGAATTTGAAATGGTCAAAAGGCAGTTCTTAGCTACAGGAACGTGGTTGTGTCTAATGGTGGAATAATACTGCCTTTGGGATCTCAAACTTCTTAACCAGCAGAACCACAGTTGAATAGATGATGATCAAACTTTTGTGAGCGAATTACTAGGTGAAATGTTAAGAGATGCCACCCCCAATCCCACCCTTTGGATTCCAGAACAATGTATTCTCATCACGGAAAAATCAAACACCTAAGATGTTGCTGGTCCAGAAAAGATAACCACATCACAAACAACACACGCCAACCTAGAAAAGTGTTGCTTCTAACTCGGCCCTGGAACTGAGTGCTTTATAGTCCAATTGCTTCCAGATGGTGAGATACATGGTAAGAGCAGGGAACCCTTTGAGTGCCTTAATGCTTGTGCCTGGACATGAGTTTCTTGTTGAGAAGCAATAATGTTTGAATACTGAAAATGGTGTAATTTTTAAGTGAATACATATTCACCACTTTGTATAAAAAATCAGGCATCATAGTTGCACCAAATATTTCAAATGGCCTATCTGAAGATATATAGTCACATGCTATGTAAATTAAAATTGAAATTAAGTGGAGGCTACTATCATTAAATTAAATGGAGGGTATTATAGTGAAGATAACAACATTTAAGATGAGTATCAGCTATGAAGTTTGCACCCATTAAATGACACCAAGTTCTTCATCGGTGTAACAACAGACTAATGAAAAGAAAGCAGGGGGATTGAGAAGCACAGCAGTGCCAATGAGTCACTGGGTAGGGAACTTTATATAGGTCATTCTAAATATGGAAACAAAATATTAAAATATTTGCCATCCCTGATTTTAATACATAATATATATTTTATATGTGTATATATATTATATAGGTATAATAAAATATGGTGGTTCTAGGAAAACAATATATAAAATAAATTCTAGTATATATAATAAGATGTATACTATATATAAAATATATACTGTATGATAAGATATATACTATATATAATATGTACTGTATGATAATAAGATATATATTATATATAATATATACTGTATAGTAAGATATATACTATATAATAATAAGATATATACTATATATAATAAAAAGATATATGAAAAAGGAGTATCACAAGCCAATGAGGAAAGTTGGAATGATTATTTATCAAATAATATGATGATGTTTCACTAAATTTGAAGAAAAGTGAACTAACTTTGTGCACTAATACAGGAATTCCCAAAGGAAAAAATATAGAAGTCACTGAATTAAGGTAGTAAAAAGTGCTTCTTTGAGCTCATAAGTACAGTACAAACCTGCTATAAGTTAATTTGATGAAAAAGTATGTTAAATAACAGCTAACACATCTAAAGGGTCATAAAAGCTCCAAAAGAGGCATTCTAATTCAATTTCTTCCCATACAGCTCCAAACAAGTAGGACTGTAGTAATCAGAATACTATTAGATTTTCCATATAAGTAATATCACTGAAAAATCAGAATTTGAATCACCTGACAAAGATTTGCATACCAGAGCTTCTTTTTACATTAAAAAAGTATAACTTGAATGTTATCAACCCTTCACATATATTATTTACATACTCCTTTCTTAGCAGTAGTTTTCTGGAAAGGATTAGCAAAAAAGTTTCAGGTTAGAGTTAGGATCATCAGTCCAAACATTTAAGAAGTTTCATCACAAAGCATATTTGTTTCAAGTGAGTTATTTAGGTCTTGGACTTCTACAGCTGCTATGGGCTTTTATTTGCATTTATTCATAAAATAGTTGCTTTCCAAGCATCTATCTTCAGGAAACCTAAACTGTGCAGAACTGAGGATTTCCCTCAGAAGATCTTCCTGTGGGCTGCAGCATCAGCTCCTACCAGAGTTTCCAGCCTGTCCTTTCTCATAGCCTGATCTATGAATTTCAGACTTGCCTAGCCAGCCTCCAACTCATGTAAGTCAATTCCTTGCAATAAGTCTCTCTCTCTCTCTGTTTTTTCTCTCTCTATGTTTCTCTCTCTCTATATATATATATAAATATATGTATACATATAAATATATATAAACATATATACATATAAATACATATATTTTTTCTTTAAATTTTCCTGCTGGTTCTATTTCCCTGATGAATCCCTGGCTACTTGGCTACTGATACAGGCCTACAGGCTTTTATATCTTTATGATATAATATATAGATAGATATACACACATGTATATACAAATGTAATGTGTATATACTACAAGCGTACATGTATATTTCCTTTTTGCCTCCTTCAGAATTTTTGAGAATAAATTTTACTTAAATTTGAAAACACAATTGTCAAATAGCAAATGAAAATGTATTGAAATATTTGTGTTCATTTAATTCAATAGATAAAATGGACAATATATATTGTTTCTCAAATATTTTGCTAAATACATTGTTCATTCTTGAAATTGAAAAGACTACCATCCCCATGGCAAAGAGTATTAATTAGTAGCAATAGCACTTTTTAGAAACAAAATGGTATTTCTTTATGAATTCTACCATAAATTTCTTTATGAATTCTACCATGTTAGCTAATTGTTAACATTAAAACTGAATATGTTAATAAATTGAAAAGGTATCAAATTATATTTTATTTAGAAATACTTATTGCCTGTAACAATTAAAATATAACAATAATTTATTTATAATAATAGAACAAATTAATTGAAAGTAATTAAGTTATATCCCTGTGTAAAAGATAAAGAGAATTATCTGGTATAAAGTGATTGCAATAAGTCATAATCAGACTGTGTGGGAACAGTGTACACTAAAGTCAGTGGGCATTACAATATGATGTTACCATTAAAGAGTGCTCTCTGGTGGCAAGCGCCACACTTACAGTCTTCTGAGCCAAAATAAGCACAAGAGACATAACAAATTCTTGTTTCCATGTTGCTAAAACTGAGCAAGCTTACAGTGAGAGCCAGAAAAATATAGTTGCAGTATAATTTCAGTTGTTATACATGTTTGTATAGTAATTTTAAAATATTTTGTTAATATTTCATAAGATATTGTAGCTATCAATAATATTTACAAAAAAAAGCACAAGCAGAAAGGATTGAAGCAAGGGGTGCATGCTACATTTTGATTGAGTAAGAATACCATCTTCTATCATCCATGCTAGCACAGTGAAGCTTCACCACAACTTTTCTCAGAGAATTTAAGCTCAGAAAAGCACATGCCTCCTCTTCATGGATTTATTGAGCAAAGAAAGACTATTTTCCAATAGAGTTGAGGTTAGGCTGAACTATCAGTCAACCATGAGATAAAATCTAATAGCTATGCAGTGAAAAGCCCTCTATCCAGACCTTTCTCCTAGTGTCACTGACCTGCTCTTGAGCTTGGAACGTCTATTTTGCAGTATATTCTACTTTGAGAGATAAAGAAGCCCTCCTCTAAAATGCCAAGTCCCACTGGAAATTTTAGTTTATTCATTCATAATTTATTCTCTCAAGAATTTACATATTTGAAGGAGAATTAACATTGATTTGCTAATGGACAAACGTGAAAATGCCAGGGCTTAAAAGATAAAAATATTCAAGATTGATAATAAAAAAAAACTAAATGGTACATTTTGAGTAAGAAGAAATCAGAAGTAAATATAAATAAAAGACAAGAGATGAGAGCCGGTCTCCCTTTCCCTTTTCCTCCCTTTTTCCCTCACTCCTTCTCATCTATGCTTAACAGGGCACATATCTTCCACCTTTTTTCTCAGTGAAGTGATTATGACAAAGAAATGGACCTGAAGTTTTATTTTTAAAAGATTTTGGGGAGTTACTCAAAAGAGAGTGACAGTAATGCATCATTTTCCCAATGCCTGTATTTTCAGATGTTCTGGATAATTTTACTCCTTGTTCCCATGCCAACTGTGATCCACAGTTACGATTCCTTCCTTCTGTCTAGTTTTTGGAGATGGATTGAATTTTCATCATGGGCTCATAGTGGTCACTGAAGAATTCAGTGTTTGGGAAGAGACCACATTTAAAAGGGAGCCTTCACATTCCATATAATAATGATTACTGACCCTTCATGTTACACTTACTATTGGCATGACCCTCTTTTAAGAATGTTTCTCCATCTCATTTACTTCTCCTCACCAGAATTCTATACATAGGTAATAATTTTGTCCACGGATGGAAAGCAAAAGAAAAAAGAGATACGACAACATACCTATGGTTATATAGCAAGAAAGTGAAAGTGCTGCTTGAACCAAAGTGGTCCATGATCTAAACCGCTGTATTGTCCTACCTCTGTGAAATCTATACAATTGAGAAAAACAAAGAAACTGGCTACATCCACCAGTGAGGGAGGCGATTGATGCATATTCTATTATAGCCACAGAAAAGCAACCTCTCATTTTCTTTGTTTGCTTCATTACTGAGGCACAAAGCTGGTCTTATGATTACCATTGTGTTAAACAAACAAACAAATGAACAAAAAGACACCGAAAGCCCCTGAGGATGTTGATACTGCACTAAGCTGGCAGCTGGAGCTTATCTTTACTGACAGGCAGGTGAACTACACATGTTATAACTAGTGCTTTCTTTGTTTTAAAGTATCACACTTCCTTCTACTTAAGGTAGTTATAAATCTGATGTTTGTGTTTATTATACACATAAAATAGAGAAATCAATCAACATTAGTCTGAATTGAAAAGTATAGGTCAAATATGATCAGAATTAAAACCATTAGCTAGAGAGAGGAGAGAAGATGAGGAGGCTGTTGTATGGAACAATGTACCATAATGAGTCACAAATAATATCAATGTTTTACCTCAATCACAAAACATGAGCAAGGTCTATATGAAGAATTGTACACCTTGAGATGAAGTAAATTGTCACGTCGTTGGCCCTGTCAGAAACCACGGAGAAGAGCATGGAAGCAGAGTTTACTAAGAAAATAATGAGTAGTCAGAAAAAAAGAAAAAATTAGGTTTTGATAGGCTTTGACAGAGAAAAAAAAAAAAAAAAAAACACTGAGAAAGGAGTAACCAGAAACTATAGTACAAGTTACTGAGAAATTGAATATTGTCCCTAATCTGAAGGATGTACATTATTTTGTCATTTTCTATGGGAGGCAAACAACACCAGAGAAATTTTACCCCACTCACAATTTTAGCTAAATGGATCCCAACTCATAAAAACCATAAATAGGTATGTCTGTTCTTCCCATAAAGAAAGAAGTAGAAATGACAGAGTTTAAGGTAACAGATTCTCATAATATTTACCAGTATATAACAGATTCTTTTAATAATTACAAGCACAAAATTCACGATGACCTTTATATTATTGTATCTAAAGAAAATCTCAAATTCCCAGTGGTTGGTAAATCTGCTAAAAATAGAACCAACAAGCAAAAACAAATGGAGCATGTCTCACAAAATTTTGAACTGAAAACAAGGAGAAAAATCAGATGCATATGTCTGGGCATATAATGATGTAAAATAATTAATCAGATTTTGAAAATAATTGAGCAGATTTTTCACATTATTTACACAAATAATGTATGTGTTTGAGTTATGTCCCCCAAAAAGATATTTTCAAGTCCTAACCCCAGAACCTCTGAATGTGACTTATTTAGAAAATGAATCTTTGCATATGTAATTAGTGAAGATGAGATCATACTGGAGTAGGGTGGGCCTTAATTTAGTGTGATTGGTGTACTTATAAGAAAATTAGAAATACACACAGGGAGAATGTCAAGTGACAACAGAGGCAGAGATTGAAGTGACCCATCTTCAAGTTAAAGAATGTCAAAGACTGTGAAAACTGTTGACAATTATCAGAAGCTAAAATGCAAGAAGGAACTCTCTTCTAGAGGTTTCAGAGAAACATGGTCCAGCTGACACCTTGATTTGAGATTTAAAGCCCCCAGAAACGTGAGACAATACATTTCCATCGTTTTAAGCCACCTAATTTGTGGTACTTTCCTATGGCAGCCCTGGGAAATGTATATAATGTATATATTTATTTTTAAGATGTTGCATTAATCATTTCCTCAATATGAGCTATTAGAAATTATTTCTATCTCATTATGTTTCAATGAGAAAGAGACAGAAGTAGTAAGAGGGAGGAAAAAGAAAAAAAATGAACCAATGAGAAGAGAGAGACAGTGAGAATAAAAAGCAAGAAAAGAGAGGCATTGCCTCTCTGAAACTTCTAATAGTAGCTTAAAAAAAAAAGAACAACTTTGGTGTTTTTTCTGTTGAGAAAAAAAAAAAGAGATTATTTTAGTCTAGAAAAATTTATATTCTATAGTGGACATGTCTAGTCCTCTGTCACATATCCTCTACCTTCACTTAATTCCAGTTCTTACTCATTGCTGTGGCAATGAGCTGCCTTAGGTGCAATCTGGTACCACTCCACCTTGGCTGAAATACTTACCTCTTGATTTCTCCCCCAGTATTTCTCTGAGAACATAGGACTCTAACAGGAGTCCGCTCAGTCATTCTGGTTTGATCACAAACCTGAAATCACAAGTGGTTAAGAAAACCTAAGAAAATTCTTCACCAATTATAAAAAGAGTCTGCGGGCATATTGTCATGCCTTCCTTGTTTCAAGGGCTCAAGTTGAAGGTGCGTTCTACAAGGCACCCCAAGAGTAGTCAATAAGATTTATGAGCAGTTGCCTACATAATTAAGCAGCTCAACAGCATACTCTTAAATTGGCTTTTAATCTTCTCTGTTTAACACTCCCAAGTCTCTTGCTACTGTTCCTTAGGATATCACTTGCTAAAATAAGCTATCTGTATGCAAGTCTTTGTTTCAAGGCCTTCTTCAAGCAAGAAGTTAGGCTAAGAAACATTCAGTTACCTAGAATACTCCCCTCTACATTTTGTAGAGATAATAAAATACTATTTTTTTGCTGAAAGAATAATATAATTCAATATTTACTAGAATTTTTATTTAGTACTGATAAAAGCTTCAGGTAGAAAATAATGTAAAACTCATTATGATTTAATAAAGAGGTTGAAAACATCTTTTATGATATATAACAAAATCTGTGGCTATTTAGTTCTATTATGCATTTTTCTCCTTTTTTTGTCAAAATGTATACAAGAATAAGCCAGGCAGTAATTATTTTCTTCCTACTCTATATTATAATATTCTGATTGTCTTTGAAATAAAGTGAAAACAATGGTAATCATTAATATATACAATAATGAGTATATCATATATACATTGAATTACATATTTATATATTATAAGGCATCATATTACATTTTAATAATAATCTTCATATATATAGCATTTACTGAGTGGTTATGATTAACCTGGAAATATTCTTTTGCTTTACTTGTATCATTGTGTTTAATCCTTGTAAAAACCTTATATTAAACATACAACTATTTTCTTGTTTCATATAAAACAAGCTGAAACACAGACATTGGAGACACAGCCATGCATAATGTATCTCTTTATCCCAAGTGACCACAATGCACCTATTTATCTCAAGAAAACAGAGCTAAAGTCACCTATTCTAATATCAGTGGGGTTTTCTGTTGTTGTTGCTTGCTGTGTTTTGTTTTTGCCTTGCTTTACTTGTATACTACTTTATAATTATTCAATTATCTCATTATATTTACCCTTAGTGACACAGAATGTCTCATGCACCTTGTGGTGAGGGGTAGGGGTTGCAGGATTGAGGACAGTAACAAACATAGGTACGTAAAGACAAGCCCTGAGATGAATTTGTTGACTCACTGACACCTATGATATGGCACTTCACAGGTGTCTGCGCACATGTTATCTGTCCAATATCCTTTGGCACTAAAGATTTGAAGTTCTTGATAAAGCTCTTGAAAAAGATTTGAAGTTCTTGATAAAGCTCTTGAAAAAGATTTGAAGTTCTTGATAAATCATTTCTGTTTTTAAATTACAGTAGTGCCTGTGGAGAACATCAGTGATTTTAAAAATGACACTAAGAAGAATACCAAATACTTACAGTATATCTACTTTGTTCCATAAACATAAAGAACATATATTTTTATATGTATGAACTCATGGAATACAATAAATCTGTGAGACATACATTACTGCTCTCACAATTTATACAAGAGAAAAATCTAAGTACAAAAAGATTGTATCATTTGTTCAAAGTCTAGTTAAATAAAGGAGCTGTTCAAATTATAGAGCTGAGATCCAATGCAAGCAATTCCAGGTGCTTAACCAGGACCTATTCTGCCTTTGTTTTACCAGCACCACCACATACAACACTCAGACATATACACTAGTGTGTAGGTACATTTACACAAATATGTGCACATCAATACAAAATAAATGAAAAAAATTGTGATCACTCTTTCATATAATAAAATTTTGGAAAATCAACAAAAGGCTAAAAATTTCATCAGCTAAGATATGCAGATTTATTGTAGAAAGCAAAATTCAAGAATAAATTTGTTATATATTACCATTCATGTTAAAACATAAATTTTAGCCGGGTGCAGTGGCTCACACCTGTAATCCCAGAACTTTGGGAGGCCGAGGCGGGAGGATCACGAGGTCAGGAGATCGAGACCATCCTGGCTCACATACTGAGACCCGTCTCTACTAAAAATACAAAAAATTAGCCAAGCATGGTGGCAGGTGCCTGTAGTCCCAGCTACCTCGGGTGGCTGAGGCAGGAGAATGGCATGAACCTGGGAGGCAGAGCTTGCAGTGAGCCAAGATTTCGCCACTGCACTCCAGCCTGGGCAACAGAGCGAGACTCTGTCCAAAAAAAAAAAAAAACCATAAATTTTAAAAATATTTCAACAAAATGCTCTTTAGAGAAAACATATCCAAAACATAATAATTGAAATGATCAAAAGCTAGAACTTTGGAATAGATAGATATAATACACATATACTAACAACAAGAATTCAGGGTTGTATGAGATAAAATAAGAAAATAAAAGATGTTGACAAATAAATAAAAGTGTTAGAGATATTTACATGGTGATACTAGACTCAAATAACCAGAACGATTACAATCCAAAATTTGTTTACCTAATATAATATTTTCAAAATAATTTTGGCAAAAGTTAATAGACTTCCAGGGAAAAACTGGAAAACTGAAAACTAATAAATCCAACATTATGCAAGTGATATTAATTGAGATCTCTCAATTATCAATAGAACAACCTGACCAAAAAATAAAGTATTTGAACAACATGTTACAAGTTAGAATTAATGCCTTTATATAGATGCCTATTTACAACAGGCAAAAAAAAATACCATTCTTTCAAAAACTGACCCTATATGAGGCTTTAAAGAAAATTTGAACCTGTCAAAGATTTGATATGACACAGAAAATGTTCTTTGAAAACAACTACATTAGATTAGAAATTTATAATAAAAAGATTAAACATTAGGAATGGAAAGGCATATCATCTTCTTCGATAAGAAAATTTAACACAATAAAGATTTGAATTTTTACAAAGTTAATTTATAAACCTATGTTTGGCAATGCCTAAAAAAATTACCTGAAAATGTATTCTAAGAGCCCATACAAAAGACAATCAGTAAAATGTAGAAAGACATGTGCAAGGCATATTACATTCTACATTACAACACAGTCTATATAGTAAAAGACTGGAAAATATAGAGGACTTAATGATAACTGATATTATGTCCACAAAATGGAAACATACATAGTGTTAAAAGGAAATAACACTTCTATACCCTACACTGGAATACTGATCAAGCTGTACTGTTAAGCAAAAAATTCAAGTTAGAGAAATATATATTTGATATTTTACCATCTGCCTATGAAATATCGAAACATCACACACATGCACACATGTATTTACTCATATCAAAAAGCTGTAAGTAACAATTAAACAGGAAAAACAGGTATATATGTTAAATGATATAATGAGATGCAATTAGCAAAACTAGATTACCAAAAACTTTACAGAACAAATGATGCAGTTTCTTTTTTTTATTTTGTTTTGTTTTGCTTTGTTTTCAACACAGAAATAACCACAAAAGCACTGTATGAGGAATAACAGAGAAAAGAGTTCAAAGGAATCCTATATTTTAAAACAGGATTTAAAGAAGCAGTAAATAATAAAACAAAACACTAAGCAATAACAATCTATGGGTCTTGTTTGGCTCCCTAAAATAAAATAATTTTTATAAGATACAAATTAAATATTATAGTATATTTGGACGAGAAAGTGGAACTCTTCCATACTGCTGGTTGGGAGGCAAATTTTTATGTCTACCTTGAAAAATTATTGCAAGAATCTAGTGAAGCTGAACAAATTCATACCTATGACAACATAATGCTCTTTCCATTTATATATAATAGTGAATGTACACATCCATTGAAAGACTTGATGTACACTTTGCAAGCATTTCAGAGGCTGTATAGTTAATACTTGTGTATTTTATTATACCCTAAATTATGATTCAATAAAACATATGAAATCTATAAGGCACTCTGTCTACTGTATGAAAAGTTAGTCTATTTATTCAACTAAATGTAAAATCAATTGAGGGTTCGCTTTCTAAATCATATATAGAAAATGATTTATATTTTGAAATCCACTATTTTAATCCAGATATTTTTCCAACTCTAGGATAATGATCAATCAGGATATATGTTAAATGTTTTGAAGAAAGATATACTTTAAAAGTGGAAATGGTAATATTTCAGATAAATTTAAAACCACATATTTTCCTTATATCACTTAATTTTTTCTATATTTTATTAATTTATTCAATCATTTAACAAATATATACTAAGTTTATACTTTGTGTGAGCCATTAAATTGCATATGGGCTAAAACAAGTATATATTTTAACCTAGATATTTCTCTCAGAAACCTACATCATTTTTTGCTTATGTGCACAAAGTTGATATTAGAATCTATTTTTTCTTTTATTTTCTTTTTTTCTTTTTCTTTTTTTTTTTTTTTTTGAGACAGCACCTTGCTTTGTCACCCAGCCTGGAGTGCCGTGGTGTGACCATGGCTAACTGCAGCCCCACCTCCTAGGTTCAAGTGATGCTCTCACCTCAACCTCGAAAGTAGCTAGAACCACAGGCGTGTGCCACCAGGCCCAGCTAATTTTTTTTTTTAATCTTTTGTAGAGATGAGGTCTCTCTGCATTGCCCAGAATGGTCTCAAACTCCTGGGCTCAAGCAATTGTCCCTCATCCGCCTCCCAAAGCACTGGGATTACAGGTGTGAGCCACTAACAACACATTTTCTTATTATAGCATTCTGTCTGAAACAAGGTCAAAATATTGCATGTTTATTCAGTGTTCATTTCATTTGATGTTCAAAGTATTCACCATTGAATCTAGAGCACTTACCCACACATACACACACACACACACACACACACACACACACACACATATTGTGTTTAAAGTAATGTAGAGTGACAAATGCTTTGGGATAATTGGATTTATCCTTGATATGAAGGACCAACATTGTTTCCATGGGAATCTTTATTGAAATAGTCGAAATAAAAATATATCTCATGGAAAATGATATCATATGAGGAATTTTTAATATGTGCCATACTTAATAAGTAAACTCTGAACACAATAAATGTATGTTTACATATTTCAAAAACTTGACAATATTTATGCAGTTAAACAATATGTTAATTATAAAATAACAAAATAGACAATATTAATCTTTAGTAGAAAATTAATATTGATGTATTATGTCATAAAATTATTATAAAATAATTTATATTGGTAAAGTATTCTTTCTTCTATATGTAGTTTGGCCAACACCTGTTTGTTTGTACATGATACAATAAAACATGTTATTAATAGAACACAATTATTGTTCAAATATATCCCAAAAAGATCTCATCAGAAACTGATGACATGCAGTATATATCAAAACCGTGTTAGAAAGTAGTCTAAATTGTTAGAATTTTTTTTTTAGGTTAGGAAAGGGTGATAATGGTTTTTAAAAGTAAGGTAATTAAGACTTTGTGTAACATTCACTATCAAATCAATTACAAATTTGGCCTATGGCTATTGAATGCTCATTCAAAGACATCAAAATAAGGATTCTTATTAACCCCCTAAATGTGCACTTTTATTAACTCTCTAAAGGAGGAACATCTTAAAAAATAGTATATAGAAATTTTATATCGTTTATTTTATATGAGGATGATGTCGATTTTCTCGCTAGAAACTGACATTTAAAATGACTACCACAATTTAGCCTTAATTTTAACCTCTCACAGATAAAGATGCAATCAATACAATTTAGACATTACTTCAGAGAGATACATATGCTATGAAAAGTTTTATAATTTACTAGAAGGGTATTTCCAGCCACTGTACAATAGCTACACCACTGAGAAACAGCAAACATGTCCATTTGTCCTTAAAAATAAAACAAGAAAGAAATCATTTAAACTGTACGATGAGATAAGAGAGATTTATAGTTTCAGGATAGTAGATTCTGCCTTTTCTCTTGAAATCATCTTAAAACAGCAATAAGGAATAGAAACTTAAATTTCTCAATCCATAAAATATAAAGACAGCTGTGACACCAATTACAACATATAAAGAAAGAAACCTGAAATGAAAATGGCAAATAGTTTAGTGGAGAGAAAAAAATTTAAATTGAAGTGTTAAATACAAGAAAAATACTAAATAAGTGCGAGCTAAAAACTGAAAACACTAGAGATTATCTGAACATACAAATACTAGTTGTCACCCATACCAGGAAAATAGACATCGGGATTACTAGGACAATAGACCAGGACATAAATCTGGTCTAATACCAGGAGACCAGAACAACAGGAACTGGTATTCCCACCCATACCAGGAAAATTCCTTAGCTAGTTGTGTAGAAAGGAGAAAAGAGTTATAAACTCACTATCATGACTTATCCTTAATTACTCTGATTTTATTGTTTTCTCCCACTCCCAGTCCTTGTCTGTGCCTGCTCTCTCTCAGTCTGAAGCCCCCTGTGTTTTTCCACCTAGCTTAATTGCGTCGGCAACTAGATCAGACATGCCTGGCAGAGAAGTGAGAGGCCCTTCTCTAGAGAAACTCAACTACTTCACAGGAAAAATAAATTTACAGTCATAGCATTTGAGGATTTCTCATAAAAAAATCAGTTGTCTATCATAAAACTCAACAGTTATGGAAACTAACAATTTCCAACCAGCTTTTGTGAACCTCATATTAAATATGAATTGGGTATCCAAGGATCATCAGAGATTTAGGACTGTCTCCAACATACAATAGAGAGAACATAACAAACAGATTAGGATCAGACACAAACCAGGAACTAGGAAAAGACTTCACATATATTACTCATGTTATGCTGATTATAAGAAAATGAAGAAGATTCATCAAACAATCTTTGAAAGCTATAGGAAGAAAGCAAAAATTAACACTTAAAAATTTAAAATATAGTTGACTTTTTAAACTAAAAACAAAAGTCTTTTCTAACAATAGAATAAAGGACCAAGAGATAGAGAATATTAGATAAAATAAATGTAGAAAATTTAAATATCTAATTAAAGGAACTAGAGTGAGAATAAAGAAAATGTTAAAGAGCAATGTATTATACCATTTATAACTACAAAAAAAGGAAAATTGTTGAAAATTACAGAACTTGAGGCATTACACAGAAAACCTAAAAAAAGTTCACAGATTGCTCTCTTGTACTTTTCTACAATCCCATCTCATAATTGTCCTGCAAATTTAGAGATTGAAAAATACTGGTTTTAACAGAAGAATAAAGGCCTCCAGGAACAAAGTATCAAGTGAAAGAAAATACAAAATTATTTTTTATCCTTAGGTAAATGTGACGCATTTTACAGAGCTGTTGTGGAAATACTATATTTAAAAGATAATAAAACACAGGAAAAATAAAAATGAGTATTACCTCCAGGAAAAATGATAGGTTGTTTAAGAAAAAAAAAACATAGTAAATTATTTTGCTCAACAGTGAACGCTTGTGCATATGTGTGTATATGTGTGTGTGTATTTTTTTTTTAGAAAATCAATCTATAAGAATTAACTATAGTTGTGATGGAAACTTACAAGAATGAGAGAAGAGGTTGCCTAAGGAAACTGAAATACTAACTTCACATACAAGAGTATAAATGGATAATGTCTAAATTTTTTATCATGGATAATAGTATAGCATATTATTTTAAAACACGGATACAAATATAAAACATTTATACTACAATAAATAGATAAAGGATGTAAAAGTAGTTACTTCCGGTGCAGCTAAAGTATACACTATATGCTAAGAAAGGAGAGAAAATAGAATCACATAAAATAATCAGTTAAAACCACAAAAGGAAAAAAAAAATAGTGGAAGACAAAAATAGGAACAAAGAAAAAGGGCAACAAATAAAAAATAGTAACAAATATGGCCGATATCAATTCAACTGTATGTGGAATCACTTTGAATGCCAATAGTCTAAAAGTTCCAAGGAAGAGAAAGAGATTGTCACAAGTCTCAATGTTCAAAGGAAGAGATAGAGGAGATTTGATCAAAAAATAACCAAATACATGTAATCTCGAGGAAACCCACTATAAATATAAAAATCACCAGTGACATGTAGTGAAATTGAATTAGTAATAAAAAATGTCACAACAAGAAAAACACAAGAACAGATGGATTCACAGGCAAATTCTATCAGACATACAAGGAAAAACTTGTAGCCATTCTACTGAAATTGTTCCCAAAAAATCGATGAGGAAAGAATCCTTCCTAACTCAATCTGCAAAGCCAGTATCACCCTGATACCAAATTCAGACAAGGATACAATAAAAAGAGAAAAGCATAGACTAATATCCCTAATGAACATAGATGCAAAAATCTTCATCAAAATACTAGCAAACCAAATCCAACAACACATCAAAACGATAATACAAACGACTGAGCAGGGTTTCTTTCAGAGATGTGAGGATCATTCAACATACAGAAATCAGCAAATGTGATTCATCAGATAAACATAGTTAAAAACACAAACCATATTATTATCTCAATCAGTGCAGAAAAAGATTTGATAAACTTCAGCATCTCTTCATGATAGAAAAAAAAGAACCTCAACACACAAGGCATAGAAGAAATACCTCAAAATAACAAAAGTAATATGTGACAGCAAACATCATCCTGAACGGGGAAAAGTTCAAAAAATTCCTGTTGAGAACCAGAACAAGCAAGGATGACGACTTTCACCTCTCCTATTTAATGCAGTACTGGGATTTCCAACCATAGCAACCAGGAAATACAAAGAGATAAAAGGCGTGCAAATTGGAAAGGACAGAGTCGAATTATCTGTTTTCTAAAGATATTATCTTATACCTAGAAAACCCTAAACATTCTGCCAAGAGACTCCTAGAATAGATAAGTGACATCAGTAAAATATCAGGATATTAAATCAATGTACAAAAATCAAGAATATTTCTATATATCAATACTAATCAAACTGACAACCAAATCAGGAATTTATTCCCATTTACAATAGCAAAAAAAAAAAAAAAAAAACTTGGAAAGGCATTTAAACAAGGAAGTTAAAGGTCTCTACAAGGAGAACTAAAAAACACTGATGAAAGAAATCATAGATAATAAAACAAATGGAAAAATATCCTGTGCTCATAAATCAGAAGAATCAGTATCATTAAAATGATCACACGGCCCAATGCAATCTACAAATTCAATGCAATTCCTATTCAAATACCAAAGGCATTTTTCACAGAACTAGAAAAAAAAAAATCCTAAAATTTATATGGAACAAAAAGGTGCCCAAGTAGCCAAAGAAATCCAAAGCAAAATTAAAAAAAAAAAAAAGAAGGTGGAGGCATCACATTATCGGATTTGAAATTACACTGTGAGGCTATAGAAACCCAAACAGCATTGTACTGAAAAAAAAAATAGTCAAACACATCAATGAAACTAGATGGAAAATCCAAAAATAAAGCCACAGACCACAGCCAACTTATCTTTGACAAAGCTGACAAAAACATACACGGAGGAAAGGACACTCTATTCAACAGTGGTGCTGAGAAAATTGGATTGCCAAATACATAAGAATGAAACTGGACTTCTATTTCTCACTCTATACAAAAATTAACATGGATTAAATACTTAAATCTGAGACCTGAAACCAGAAAAGCCCTGTAAGAAGACCTAGAAAAACTCTATTGGACATTGGCCTTGGCAAAGCATTCTTGACTAAGACCTCAAAAGCAAATACAACAAAAATATAAGTAGACAAATGGGATTTAATTAAAACTAAAAAGTTTTTGCACAGAAAAAGAAATATTCAACAGAATGAACAGACATCCTGCAGAATGAGAGAAAATATTTGCAAACTATGCATTTGATAAAAAAACTAATATCCACAATCTCCAAGAAATTCAAATATCTCTAAAAAATCAAAACAAACAAAATAACACCATGAAAAAATGGGCCAAGGACATGAGCTAATATTTTTCAAAAGAAGACATACAAGTGGTCAACAAGCACGTGAAAAAAAAAATCAAGCACCAAAGAAACGTAAACTTAAACCAGATGCGATACCATTTTATACCAGTCAGAATGTCTATTATGAAACCCCGTATCTACTAAAAGTACAAAAAATTAGCCGGGTGTGGTGGCGGGCGCCTGTAGTCCCAGCTACTCCGGAGGCTGAGGCAGGAAAATGGCGTGAACCTGGGAGGCGGAGCTTGCAGTGAGCCGAGATTGCACCACTGCACTACAGCCTGGGCGACAGAGCAAGACTCCATCTCAAAAAAAGAAAAGAAAAAAAAAAAAGAAAAAAGAAAAGAAACAACAGATAATTGGTAATGATGCGGAGACAAGAGAACACTTATACCCTGCTGGTAGAAATGTAAATTAGCATAACCTCTACGGGAAACAGTATGGAGATTTCTCAAAGAACTGAAAATAGAACTACCATTTGATTTAGCAATCTCACTTCAGGGTATCTATCTACTCAAAGAACTGAAATCATTACACCAAAAATATATCAGTGCTAATGTTTACAGCATCACTGTTCACATTAGCAAAGATATGGAATCAACATAAATGTCCATCAATGGATGATTGGATAAAGGAAATGTGGCATATATATATATATGTACACACACACAATAGAATAGTACTCAGTAGTAAAAAAGAATAAAATACTGTCTTTGCAGCAACATGAATGGAACTAGAGGCCATTATCTTAAGCAAAATAACTCAGAAGCATAAAGTCAAACACATATGTTCTCACTTATAAGTGGGAATTAAATAATGTATACACACGGACATACAGAGTAGAATAATCATCATTGGAGACTTGGGGTTATGGCTACATTAAAAGATGTATTACATATATGCAATATATCCATGTAACAAAGATGCACTTGTACTCCCTAAATCTATAATTTAAAAACACATACATAAGATTAAAAGTAAATGGAGAAATACATACTATGCTAATACTAATAGAAATAAAGCATGAGTAGTAATATTAGTTTCAGACCAAGCAGACTTCACAGCAAGGATATTTATCAGGGATAAAGAGGACATTGTATTATAATAAGGGGGTCAATTATCCAACAAGACATAAAAATCCTTAATATGAATACACCTAAAAACACAGTGTCAAAACATGAGGCGAAAACTGATAGAACTGCATGGAGAAATAGATTAATTCACTCTTACAGTGGAATACTTTAACACCCCTCTGTTATAAATGGACAGATCCAGCAGGCAGAAAATCAGTAACCACAGAGTTGAACTTAGAGCCACCGATCAATTGCATATAATGGACATCTATAGACTAGTTTATGAATAACAAAAGGATACACATTCTTCTCAAGGTCATGTGGAACATTCACCAAGGCAGACAAAATTCTGGGACATAAAACACATTTTAACAAATTTAAAAGAATAGAATCATACAATGTCTGCTCTTAGACCATAATGGACTTAAGCTAGAAATCAATAACAGAGAAATAGCTGAGAAATCCCAAAATATCTGGAGATTAAACAACACATTTCTAAAACCACATAGCTCAAAGATGAAATCTCAAGATAAATTTTAAAAAGATTTTGAACTAAAAGAAAATAAAAACGGAACTTTAAAATTTGCGAGATCCACCAGAATCTCCTTTATTGAGCTGCTGATTCCATCACTCCACTTGTGTGTTGCCTAATAAAAGCTTCTAATTCATATAGATGATTGCCAATGCCCAACTGGAGCTGCCTCTCCAAAAGATGTCCAAGATATTACAACTCCTACTCCAGCCCCAGCTGATGACTGATTTATACATAGAGTTACAATAGCCCACTGCCCTCATTTTGAGGTGGAATGACACTGTGGTTGCTATTCACTCATGAGAGCTCCCTGGGGAATCTGAGTCTAGACACCAGCTGAATCGGTATCTTTTCTAAACTTTTCACCTTCCTTTCTCTGTTTCCCTTGCTTTCTTACAGGTTTATCCTGAGAGTACTCACTCTATAAATATCTGCATAAGAATTGCAGACTCCAGCTCTATTTTTAGGGAAACTGACCTAAGGAAGTAAGAGAAAAGGCAGCATATCTACTCATGTCCAGTTGCTTGGAGGGAAAATTAGAGGTTGAAATGGTTCTTCATTGCAATAGCTTCAAGCTACTGAGACATAATCAGGTAGATTGATTACAAATAGGTGGTCACCATGTCCATACCCAAATATTTTTAACATTTCATATGTCTAGAGTGTTAGAGTGGCCTTAATGCTGTACAACATTGTTACTAAAATCTGAGATGCATACTTGTCAAATAGATTTTTAAATAGCAGTGACATTCTAACAATGTTTAAAATATATTTATTATAAAGGTGGCTGAATAATTTAAACCATGAAGTTTATATGTAATAGATGAGATGTATTTAAAGCATCCTTAAGAAAAAAAAATTGTTCCCAATGTGAGGGAAAAAACCTGTTACTCTAACCTAATTATTGATAATGACAGGAAAAAAGAGAGAGAGAGAGAAAACAGAAAATAGGTAATTATTACTAGAGTTAGAGATAAAGGTTGTCTATGCTAACCTTGCCATTTACCATGTTAACCATGCCTAGTATGTGGATTCAAAAGTCTGGTGATGACTGTAGCTCATCTATTCTATCATGGAAATAGGACAATGTTGGTATAAAACATTAATGTAATTAACCATTTACATTACCAAAATATCCCCATATGTTCTGAAAGAGCCCATACTAAGAAATCCTTTAACTATATTTTAGTTTGCCTCATCATTTTACCCTAAGAATAAAAGATCAGTGGATCTGAATGTTTAGGTGGTTTGATAGTTGTTTTTCTCATTGTAAATAAATCTATGACTATACTGTTTTTTATATACTCATCGTTTTCCACTGCCTTACATGACAGAATACCTCAGAAGTAGATTCACTTTCAGTAATTGCTAAAATTAGCTTTCCTTACTTACATAATTGAGAACTATGATATAATCTGATGATCCAGCCCCTGGATCATTGCCTTTGAGAATTTCAGATGCATGTTACATGGGCCAAACCTCAAAGGATATTCCATATTTGCTGCATCACACACATTAAACAGTAACATGATTAAAATATTTCATTTACCTTGTATTTACAAAAAGAGAAAATTGCTATGAAATTTAAAGCAAGGCAATAGTATAAAAATTGCATTTGACTAAATATTTTCTGACTGCTTGGTTTTATTTTTAAGTCCAGCAATAAATACTTTTGGTTCTTTCAAATAGTTGCTGTAAGTATGTATATCTATTTATATATATTACTATGTATCTATATTTAACATTTACAATTTTATAAAGCACTGTTTGTAAGACATGGATTATTACAAACTCTGATATAAGAATTTAAAACATTTAAAAGTGAAAAATATTATGTCATGATAACTCCTAGAGATTGTAAGAGATTTGCCTAAAAGTACAAATCTAATAAGTAGTGGAAGGGATCCCTTGTCCTCCCCACATTACTATATTGCCCCTCCATATTTGATGCTGTTTCTCCATCTAACAGTACCCCAGAAATGAATTGTTCCCAAATGCCAAGGGATTCAATAAACTTACTGATAACTCTTGCTACAAGCAGCTTTATTTCTGACAACCCAACTTCTTTTTGACAAGGACTTCAATGCATTTACTTGTTCCAGGCACTCTTATATTTATACACATTGTATACTTGCAGTGGGTGCTCTAGTATGCTACTCAGAGGGGTCCCTTCCCAGATTGGAAGCTCTTATTTATTAAGCTGTTTGGAGGGCTGACTTCACTGCCCAAGTTCACCACCCTTTCTTCTGTCCTTGTTATCCTATATCCAATGATGCCAGCTTGTGAGGAGCAGACAAAGCTTGAATATTTTGCTTCAAACCATGACAATACTGGTGGGACAGGCAAATTCAGAATTCCTTGGTTGAGGCCTATGCAACTGCACAATTTAACTTCTCACCATGTCCAAGCCTACTTTCTTCACTGCCCCAAGGGAGAATTGATCGCAGTAAACTTTCTGCATTCAAGTATCTGTCTTATAGGCATTGTCTTAGCTTGAGTTGCTGTAACAAAAACTTAAACAACGGAAGTTTATTTCTGTTTGGGAGGATGGGAAGTCCAAGATCAAGGTGCCAGCATATCTGTTTCCCAGTGAGGGCCTTTTTCCTAGCTTGTAGCTGGCTACCTTCTCTACGTCCCCTCACACGATGAAGAGAGAAGAAACAAGTTCTATGGTGTCTCTTTTTATAAGAGCCCTACCCTCATGAGGTCATCCGAGTTACCTCCCAAAGCCTCCACTTAAAATACCATCACATTGGTAGTCAGGGCATCAATATATGAATTTGGCAAGGACAAAAACATTCAGCATATACTAAGTGTTATTAACACACAAACAAACGCAGGAAGTTAAATACCTTGCCCAAGCTATTAAGCACTTAAAGATTCTAATCTAGGCAGTTTGGCTGCAAGTCCTTAATTAATACTAACATGATAGTCTTATTTGCTAACTCACCAGCTGACCATCCACATAACCTATAAGCAACAACTCAAGAAGGGAATATATTTTATTTAAGAATACTAAAGTTTACAGAAGTCTCATCCCGCACGTTCATCTCTGTCACTGTTTTTTTGTTTGTTTGTTTTTTGTTTGTTTGTTTTTTGAGACAAGGTCTCACTCTGTCACTGAGGCTGTAGTGCAGTGGTACGAACACAGCTTACTGCAGCCTCAACCTCCTGGGCCTAAGCAATCTTCTCACCTCAGCCTCCTAAGTAGCTGACACCATGGGTGCACACCACACCCTGCTGATTTTTTTAAATGTAGAAATGGGGTCTCACCATGTTGCATGTTGCCCACACTGGTCTGGAACTTCTGGGCTCAAGAAATCCTCCAGTCACAGCCTCCCAAACTGCTTGTCATCATATATAAACAGTCCTGAACTGAATTCTTATTTTCATCAACTGTCCAGTCCCCCAAAATCTACTAATCTTGCACAAAATCCAATTAAGGATGAAGAAGATATTAAATATTGACCTTAGAGCACAGATAGTTCTTTTAAAGGATCCTGAAATTTGCAGTCAGTTTCTCCTAATGTTTGCCCAGGTCTGATTGTTCTGGGTGAGTGCCATATCTATCCTTTTGCTTTTTTAGGGTCACACTCTGACTGGTTATGACTCTTCTCTTCTCAAAGCTGGACTCACATTGCCCCAGAAGTTTGCCAGCCTTTGTGCTTCTTATAACATAATGAGAATGTTCTTATGTGAGAACTGTAATTTATCCATAATGTGGCAGAAACCCAACAGCATCCAGAGACCACAAAAAGCTGGAGACCCTGGGGCCCAAGGCAATAAGTGGACTCTGCACATTTACCTATTGCAAGTTTGCATTTGGCCCTATCGTTAAACATACCCTAATTTGAGACATATCTCTTACACGTATATTAAGCATTTTTCTGTAATTTAACCATTTCTTTGTTGATATACAACATTCAAAATTTCACAGCACCTTATTCAAAATAAATAATCAGTAAAGATCTATACAGTTATTGCAAAAGGACCATCTTGTGTCTGTATCCTATTGAAGGGCAAGTTAAATAAAATATATTTAGCAGCAAGAGAGGTATTCTCTAAGGAACATTCTGAAAAGCCTGCAATAAGTGATCTTGGAAGTTAAAGAAAGAGGTAGTATTTTAATTTAAAGCCTTTTATTCTATAAATTGAGTGAAGTACCACATTTGAAATTGCAGTGGAACATCTTTCTATGAAAAGTTGATCTAAAATGAAATTTTAGAAATCTGTATCCTCCGAAAAATGTTATATTGTATGTCTTCATCAATTCTACCCTTCTAATTCTCAATTTACTAATTTAAAAATATTTTAGTTTTGAACGCACTTTTGGATCCATAAATTATTTTGATAAACTCCTAAGTTTCTGTTACGACGTGATATAGATATTTGAAAGCATTTATAGATAAATCAGTTTGGGGGTATTAAGTTGATCACAGATACTAATACATAGGAGACCCCAAAATTAATAGAATTTTTATATAATCTAACAATACTCTGTGAGTAAGATACACTTTAAGGTTAGAATTATTATAAATTTTAAAGCATAAGCCATGGGTTAGGCTTTTCAAAATATGGGTTATTTAATACTGCAGCAAATATAGGACACAGTTTATCCAACATTCATTGAAGTTACTTTCTAAAATTTAAGCATATCATCACGTTTCAAGTGAAGGATGCTGTTATCTCTGATTTCTTGAAGGGTAAAGTGATGATACTTCAGATTCTACATGCACTTTCCACCTTAAATATCTGAAATTGTAAAATGACACAATAAAAAAACAAAATATCATTGACTTGATAATTTTAAAAAATAGGATTAAGTCTACTGCATATCATTCTTTTTCCTGTGTTTTTAGGATTTTTTTTATTTACTGATGTAATAGAGGTAGAATAGGCAACAGTTTTAATTTCATAACTCCTATGTACTTAAAATATAATTTTAATAAACTATTATATTAAAATTTACTATAAATGAATTTTATGCAGATATTAGATAAAACCCTTATTTAGAGCCCTGTGGGAGAGAAAAGATGGAGCACAGGGAGAATTTGAGCTGTGATGGAAGCCCAAAAACTGTTTTGGCCAATTCCATGGGGAGCTCTGGAGCTGGAATGGCCCTGAAGAGGTGTCCCAAGTGTGGCAGAGATGGCCAGGCCTTCATACTTCCTTAGTTCATCAGTTGTTGGAAGTGGAATACCCTGAAAAAGAGTACAATCTTGGACCAGAGGCAGCTTAGATAGTTGCTGCAGGAGCTCAGCTGAAGATGTCTACCGACAGAATTCCCAGCAAGTGAGACAGCAGGTACTTTGTTGAAGGGGATCTGGGTGGTGAATCAGAATCACAGGGTGCAACACCAAATGATAACTCTGTGTGTGTGTGTGTGTGTGTGTGTGTGTGTGTGTGGTTTGGCTACTTTGGCTTCCTTTCTAAAACATGGGAAAGCAAAAACAGGATGAACAACTTCCCTGATAAATAGGCTTTGAGGACAGATGGGTAAAGAGGATTTTAGGGAGTTTGCTGTATGTTGTATGAAAAAAACAATCTCTTAATCAGCTTCCTAAGACCTATAATACTTTTCAATACCTGTGGACTAAGACTTTAATTTTTTTTTTTTTTGGATGTAACACTGGGCTGACATTGGCTTTAAACTGCACATGGGATCAAATTGTCACTCTAGAGCTGTAATTTAGACTTCTAAAGAAAAAAAGTGAAAATTTTCTTGATATAAAATATAATTCATAGACCGTCTTCTCCATGTATAAAGAAAAGTTTGTAAAAATTATCTCAGGGGCCGGGCGCGGTGGCTCACGCCTGTAATCCCAGCACTTTGGGAGCCCGAGGCGGGTGGATCATGAGGTCAGGAGATCGAGACCATCCTGGCTAACAAGGTGAAACCCCGTCTCTACTAAAAATACAAAAAATTAGCCGGGCGCGGTGGCGGGCGCCTGTAGTCCCAGCTACTCGGGAGGCTGAGGCAGGAGAATGGCGTGAACCCGGGAAGCGGAGCTTGCAGTGAGCCGAGATTGCGCCACTGCAGTCCGCAGTCCGACCTGGGCGACAGAGCGAGACTCCGTCTCAAAAAAAAAAAAAAAAAAAAAAATTATCTCAGGATAAAATGACAACTTTGAGCACAATACAATCTTACATATTAAATGCATTTCAAATACATAAAATATAGTCCTAGAATATTTACATTTTTGTCTACTAATGATCTTGAGGTTTAAGAAGCTGAAAACAAAATCAGGATTTGGCCCATCGTGCAAAAATGCATGACTCCTTAAGATTATTACACAAAGTAGTCAATCTCAAGTAGAGATCAGAGGACTGGCAAAGCTTTTAAAATCTTTGCTGATTGAGCTACAAACCTAAAATTAGGATAATGTTTAAACCACAGCCAGGCTTTCAAATCACCACAAAAGGTCATTTGCCTACAGAAGTTAGACAGGTTACAAACTTCATAATGACTAGTCTATTTCTTTTGTAAATCTATTCTGAAATTTTCAGTAAAATTATGTGATAAGTTCTTTATCTTTAATAATTTTTAGAATGAAACTCAAAGCTTGATTCTTCAGCCTACAAATTTATATTTAAGATTTTGTGTTGCTTTTGTTTAGTTTTAATCAAGATGATTAGTTAATCAGTATCTATATCCTATACCTCAAAAAAGATGAAAAATTGAATTATTTCCTCTTCCTCCTTATCCTCTTCTGTTTCCCTGATCTGCTTTTCTGTACTGGCACCAATGTCACACTCACTTAGTTGCTACATAGCCATAGAAGTCTTATTATTTGGTAATTTGTCCTATTTTGCTCTTTGTTAACATTGAGTTGGATGTCTTGCTCCTTTGCATATTTACAAAGTGTCAATTGCTAAGAACAGAAAACAAAATCTTGCTGACTTGTTTTTAGATTGAATTTATAGATGAATTTGGGGAGAACTGGCATCTTTAAACTTAGATGTTCCAATCCAAGAAAGTTACCTATTTTTTATTTATTTAGATATACATTAATTTTTCTTAATCATGGTGTATAAATTTTCAGTATACGGTTCTTGCATATTTTTCATAATATTTAGGCTCAGTATTTAATATTTTTGATGCCATAGATAAATAGTACTTCAAAATTTTTATTTTCTAACTTTTTTTTTTTTGCTTTAAGTTCTGGGATACATGTGCTGAATGTGCAGGTTTGTTACATAGGTATACATGTGTCATGGTGGTTTGCTGCACCTGTCAACCCATTGAGAAATGCAGTTACTTTGTATGATACTATTATATCAAGCCACCTTACTAAAATCTAAACACTTTTTTTATCTTTGCGGTTTGGGAATATTGACACTTTTACTTTTTTCTTTCAAATTTCATTGTGTGTTTTTATTTTTCTTGCCTTTTTCTGTTTTGAAATATTCAGTAAATATTATAGAAAAATGATGATAACTGCTATCTTTATCTTATTATTCATATAAGAAAAGCTTTCACCATTAAATGTAATGTTTTAATGTTAAATTAAAGGTTCACTTCAAAATTATTTTATCAGATTCTATTCCACATTTAGTAAGGGGTGTTTTGTTTTTCTGTTTCACATCTATTTAAATTGACAGTTTTACTATTTCCTGTGTGTTGTAGCCACAAATTGAAGTAAATTTTAAATAAATCTTACATTCTGGTATAAACTTAACTTGGGTGTGATAAATTACCCTTAATTTTGGTTCAAATTTTACATACTCTAATATTTTGTATACTCTAATTATGCATACTCTAATATTTTGCATACTCTAATTTGGCACTCCTATGGATATGTTCTTAGAGAGATTAACCTATAACTTTTTATGTTTTGTCTTGTTTTATCCTTGTATTATCCTTCTCTTCTTTTAATTAAGAAATGTTTTTATTTGTTACAATATTTTCTGTATGAATACAATTCTTTAAATTAAATGTTTATAGAAATCACTGAAGTTATTTGGGCCTAGAGTTTTCCTTATGAGAAACTTTAAAACAAAAGTTCTTGCTTTGCCAAAGTTTAATGTATTACATTTAATACTTCCTATAAAATTCAAGGACTTTAGATCATTCACTTCATATCCTTCAGATATTTTCTGCTGCTGTTTAAATGTACTTTAATTACATATATAGGTATATATTCAAATACTCCCCAGACATAATGTTTTCAAGTTAATATTCATTTAAATTGACTGAATTAGTTAACATTTTAATTGTCATTTATTTCTTCTTGCTTTTCCTAGATCTCATTTAGTAGTATTTTCTCAGTACATTTTTACTGAGAATTTTCTAACAAATCATATTTTTTCTAAAACAAAAAATTATTTTACCTTTTTTTTTGACATGGATTTTCCACTGTATGGAATTCGATTCCCAGTTTTTTTCCTGAGTATATCAATCTGTTATTTGAAAAGCTATCTGTCAGTCATATCATTACTTTATAGAAAGTAATAGATACAATGAGTCAGGTAGATCAAATAAGACCTAGGGTTCAATGGATCAATAGAGCTACTGTAGTTAACAGTCATGTATTGTAAATTTCCAACTAGCTAGAAAAAACAAATTTGAATGTTCACTGCATGAAGAAAAGATAAACATTTAAAGTAATTAAAGATAAACATTTAATTCAAACATTAAAGTAATGAATACCCCTAATAAGCCTGATTTGACATTTACACATTATATGGATATATCAAATTATCACACGTACCCTCAAAATGTGTAAAACTATTATATATCAACAAAAATAGAGAAGATAAATAACATAACTTTAAATAAATTAGAAAAATTATAAAATATTTACATATAAGCCACATATTAAAATATAAGAAACAAAAGATACTGCAAGAAGCATAGAATAAAACAAAATAACTTGGAATATACTCTTTTAATATCCTCTTTCCCTTTTACACTGTATGATTTTAAGAATTTTTCTATGTTTTCAGTTTTCAGCAATTTTGTACTCTGTGCCTAGATGTAGTTTTCATTCCTGCTTGGTGTTTATAATAGTTTTTAAACATATGATTTACTGTCTTCAATCAGATATTTGAATATTCTTTCCTTTTTCTCTTTGAATGTTGCTTCTATAATATTCTGTATTCATTTTTTTCTGGGATCCAAATTATAAGACTGTTAGATAAATTTTAATCTATTCCTGTTATTTCTTATGTTCTTTTATGTCTTTTTCTTGGTTTTTATCTCTGCATGGTTCCGTGGCCATTTTCCTCCTCTTATATCTGAGTTCACTAATTCTTTTCATTTATGTCCAATATGTTCTTGATTAGTCAGATAATTTCATTCTTGTATTTACTTATAACATAATATACCTCTATTTCCCCTTTTTGTACTATTGTTATTATTGTACTTTAATGATTTATAAAGTATCTGACATAATATATGCCTAAGATTTGTGATTATAATCACACATTCCTTTATTTGCAACGCCTCTTTTTCTTGTGGCTTATATTTTCTGGAAATAGTACTGCCCACATATTAGAGCAGAATTTATTGAATGCCTGACATGCCTGGAGCAACTATCTAAAGGGAAATGGCCATGTTGCTGTGCTGCACAGATTACAATAATTCAAATAACATCTATCTCTGTCTAACCTGTCTGGTAGACTATAAGGTAACATGGGTTAAATGCTCTAAGAGGGATGTTCTGTCATAAGTAGTAAGATTTAATGTGTAAAAGAAGATAAAAGGCAATACAAGTTAGAGTGCATTGAAGCTGAGAGACATAAAGACATCTATGACAGAAAGCTGAAATCATGAAGAACTTGGAATCATGAAGAATCTCAAGCCATAAGGTATTATGCAGGAAAGCAGAGTGTCAGTGCTAGAGATAAAAAAGGAAGAAAAGAGCGAAAATACAGAAGTTTCATTATAGAAAGTAATGGACTTCTGCCCATGAAGTAATAAGAACTTTGGTAACTAATTTAGTTAGTTACCAAAGCATTTAACTATAAATATGAGGGAAGAATAAACATGAAGAAATCTGATTATGAGTATGATCTATTATATAAGTATAAAAATACAAGTTTCCAGTTAGTTACAAAGTCAATAGTTGGAGATTGCCTTTGTTTTGGTGATTGAAACTATTTGTCCTGAAGATATTAAATTTTTACTTTTTAGTAATTCCTCATCTTCAAAGATGTATGAATATGGGGACATTTTATTTTACCTTAAATATTCCTGTAAGCTTATGATATATCTATTGTCAATGGGGTGGTACATGACATTGACAAGGCTTTTTAAAATTACATATAGTTTTGTTGTAGTTCCCAGTATTCATTTATGCTGTAAAGTATATTCCAAGTTATTTTGTTTTATTCTATGCTTCTCGCAGTATCTTTTGTTTCTTATATTTTAATATGTGGATTGTATGTAAATATTTTATGCTTTTTCTAAGTTATTGAAAGAGACTATTATTTTACTATTTTACTATTTGTACAAGTGGTTAGAATGTATAAATGTTAATAAATAAATTCTAGGACTTTAATATAATAGTCTCAAGTAATACTGTATTTACTCATCTAAACATTTATTTAGCATATACTCATGGGCCAGGAACTGTTATAAGCGCTAGAATACATTAAATAAGTAGGATAAAATTAACCAAATGGACTATGTCTTTATACCTTGTGATCAAAAGGAAACTTAAATATAAAACATTTATTTCAAACATTTATACAAGCATATTGATTACTTTGATTTTACTTACATAAAATGCTGAGAGTTGAGATGGGTCTGGTCATGTATATAATTCATTGTAGTGATTAACTTTAACCTCATTTGAACATTTCTAAAATACAATTTTATAACGCTTTTTTGGAAATATGAAAAGCCTGTCATAGGTTCTTCTGCCTTGTTCTTTAGCATTATTCCTCCTAACAGCAGCTGACTGTTCTACTGATAACTCAAAGTAAAGTGAAAAACAAACTTTCAAAGGATATCAGATTCAAGACAGCCTCAAACTCACTGATAGTTCTTTTCCCAAAAGACAGGTCGGTATCCCTCTCTTTGAATCAGAGTGAATTCTTCAATGCTCAACCAATTAGAAAGAACATGTTAGAAGTGATGCTGTGCCTGTTTTGTTTTGAAGACCAGGTCTCAAGATTCTGTCAGTTCTTCCTATCTGTTGCAACACACTCTGTTGGGATCCTGAGAAATCTAAGACTTTCAACCATTTTGAGCTGACCACAATGTAAGTTTGGTCTTACCAATCTAAGTATGTGGACAGACTATATGTATATATGTGTGTATATATACAAACATTGTCTGTCTGCACACAAACACACACACACACACACACACAGAAAAAGAGCAATGCTTCTCAGAAGATCAGCTAAACTGGAAGAAAGCCGAGCTGCCAGATGTTTAAGTCGCCAATTAAAGCAGAAAGTCAAAAATGAAGAAGTTATTTAATCACTTACTGCAATGATAGAAGACAAAAGGCTAAAACTGAAGAAAGCATTGTCTCTCCAGTTTCATTTCCTCTGTGAAACAATGCACTGGTCAAAAGTCCGGTGGAACACTGCAGACATAGGTGTCATCTCACTGTTAAGGGGGCCACAAGAAAAAACCTCCAGCAGTTTCATAGACCATGAAGTAGGGGGAAGAATGAGGAGAGAGGGCTAGAAGTAGACTTAGAGTAGGAAAAAGTGCTTTCAAGTTTTCTCACTCCTCCCCGCTGCAAGAAACACCAAGCAGAGGTGCCTGCAGAGGATCTGAGGTGCCTGAAGAAGAGTCTGAGATCTTGACTCCTGTGCTGGTTGTGGTTCAAGTGTTGTGTGGGAGGGCAGCTTGTCCCACTGAGGCCCTCCAGGTAAAGCTTTTGTAATTGACAAAGCCTGAAAAATCACATACTGGTTTTTAAATAAGAGTACATGTCTCCATGCTCAACCACACTCCTGCTGTTCCAGCCATTTCAGCTCAGGGTAAAGAAATATGAGTGAAGAAGAGTTGAGAAAGCTTCAGCCCAAGCCACCAACTCACTGTAGCACCATGAAAGATTTTGAGCAGGAATATTCCCTGCTGAGCCAAGCCAACCTGGAGAAGCATAGGTAATAATAATACATTATTTTAAGCTAGTCAGTTTGGAAATATTTCCTCATGCACCAATCGATAATTGGAATACACTTCAAAATCAAATAATATATAATAGTTTTCTATTATATATTTTATAAATCCCAGACAAATAGAGGAAAGTTTTTTTCCAAAGAGTTCCTAGAAAACAGCCTGAAGGAACACACTTTACATATTGCATTACATTATACATTAATCACAACATTTGATTGATCTTTACTGATATAAGTTATGCAACTCTGTATCTTGTGTAAGTATTAAACAAAAGTCAGGTCACCTATGTATGTGTGTATGATTTTTGTTACAGCTTAAAACAAGATTTCATTAGGTAGAAATTTTTTACTTATAAAGCACTATTCAATTTTCAGGAAATACTCCTTTTCTTGTAGTGTTCTTGTCTGTAAACATATGACCTACTTTATATTATTTAACTTAATGTTATCATGTATCTTTTAACGTTCACTTTATGTCTGTCAATTTCAGAAGGCAGCAGTACATTTGAGGGGTATGGAATAACATAATATGTGAAAAACTTTTCACATCTTTAAATTTGAACATACAGTAGTCCTCCACTATCTGCA
Source organism: Homo sapiens (assembly GCF_000001405.40). NCBI lineage: Eukaryota > Metazoa > Chordata > Mammalia > Primates > Hominidae > Homo > Homo sapiens. Next base: position 193,667,696 of record NC_000002.12, on the reverse strand, counting down.
GGGGAGATATTTCAAGACCCCCAATTGATGTCTGGAAGCACAGAGAGTACCAAATCCTGTATATAATATGCACAAATTTCACAATTTCACAGATAAAATATTTTTTACCATAGAGTTTTAGCAACCTCAGCGTACTTTTTTTTCTTTCCTTATTAAGTCAAAAACTTTCACCTTTTCATTTAAAGGAAGCACTTTATGACTGCCCTTTGGCATATCCAAATTACCAGAATCATTACTTTTGTGCTCTGGAGCCATTATTAAATAAAATAAGGGTTATTTGAACACAAGCATTGCGATACCCACAGCCAAACTGATGACAACTGAGATGGCTACTGACTAACAGCCAGGGAACATCTGGATTCACATCCTGGGCAGGATGGTATGGAAGAGCATGAGATTCCATCACACCACTCAGAACAGCAAACAATCTAAAACTTATGAATTGTTTATTTCTTAAATTTTCCATTTACTATTTTCAGACCACAGTTGACAATGGGTAACTAAAAGCACAGACAGTAAAACTGGAAAGGTGAGGGCTGCAGTAAGTGGCAATGATAGTTTTGTAAGACTTCATATGAAGAAAAACAGCAAAATAATCAGCATTTAATGTTAAAATATTTTGAATGTATACTACGTATACAGTATACATTATATAATGTTCTAGTACAGGCCAGACTTCATAAGCAGGCATTACCTGGGCTTATTATTATTATTTTGTCTAATAGATGATTCAAAGTTGCTTACCTTAATAAAATAATGTTTTCTGAAATACAAAAAAAAATGATATTTGTCTTCTCCTGTGTTTATGTAAAATTGTAGTGCATTAAAATTTAAAGATAAATCATTTGGTTTTACTAGTTATTGATAAATGATTTTAAACATAAATATAATTGTGTATATACATATACATACACCTCTGTTCTTTGTTGGTTTTATATACATAAGTTCAATCTTATATGTACACATTAATTTATTCAAATCTGTATTACTCACTTCAAATCACAAATTTTGTAGAATATTAATAGTTGTTTTGGTTTAAGTTTCAAAGGTTTGTGTTTTCTGGGTAATAGAAGCCCAAATGGATGTAATGCTAATAGTTCATTATCTAAATGTATTTTATAAAATCATGGCAGACTTTAAGATCTGTTGTGGGCATTGAATATCAATTGGCAGAGATGGCAAAATACATAAACATAAAGATTCTTAATATGATCTCTGGATATGAATCTGCTCTGCTGGGGACTGGGGAAATCACTAGCACATTCTAAGCCTCAGCACTGTCATGGTATAGCACCTATTGAATCAGGTTGTGAAAATTAACTGAAATGTTTTTCATACAGTTTGTAGGCAGAACAGTGACTCCACAAAGATGTTCACAACCTATTTCCCAAAACCTGTTAATATGTTAGCTAAAGTGGGAAAGGGATCATTGCATACATGATAAACAGTGATCAGATGGGAAGATTATCCTGGATTATGAAAGTGGGCAGAATATAATTAGAAAGATCCTAAGAGAGAGGCAAAAGTGTCAAAGTCAGAGAAGGAGTCAGAGAAGGAGATATGATGAAGGAAGCTGAGGCTGCATTGGTATGGCCATGAGCCAAGGAATGTAGGCAACCTCTGGAAGCTGAAAAAGGCAAGAACAGATTATCTTCTAGAGCCTCAAGGAGGAATACAGCTCTGCTAACAACTAGAATTTAACCCCGCAAGACTCATTTTAGCCTTCTGACCTCTAGAAATATAAGGTAACAAATTTGTGTTTCAAGTCACCAGGCTTGTGGTTTACTATAGCAATGATAAGAAAAAAATACATATAGCATTTGGCATATGACAAGCATTTGATAAATATTAGATTAATTCAATTAAAATAGTTTACCAATTAGTTTTTCTTTTGAACTTAGGAGCAATGAAGTACAGGAGACAGTAGAAAGAGTAAAAGCTTAAGAATAAGGAATGTGTTTAAATCTAGTGATCTATCATCTGCACAAAAATGAGTAAGATATTTTATCTATAAAATTATTTTATCATTCTTATAGAGTCCTATCTCTGCCTTGAAATGTGCTATTTAACATGATAATGTATGAAAAGCATTTGCTCTAGAGAGCCTGGCCCATCAATAGTAGCTGTATGTTTTCAATTTAGTCTAAGTTTAAAATGACTGAAAAAGTTTCTTTTAACATGAACACATTAAGTTCCTATCCTGTTCTGTATTCCCAGTGCCTAATTCTTTGATTGTTTTATACTAAGCATTCAATATGTATGTATTGAATGAAATAAATTAAAATTGTATTTGCCATTCCATAACAGATACTTATTTTGAGGTGAGTTTTTAGATTTTGGAGTAATATTTCTATTAATTTAAATAAATTTGTGTGAGAATTAATATAGCTCAAATCCAAAATCCGAGTCCAGGAACTTGAATCCTATCTTTACCACTTATTTATTAACTGTGTGAACTTGGGAAAATTACTTTACCCCTCTTTGCCTGTTTTCTAAAATGAGGATCAAAACTGTACTTCATTTTTTGAATTAAATGACTAATTCATGCAGAGTACATAGAATATATATCAGATATTTACATGAGTTTCTACCTTTTATGTATATGGAGCACAGATGTGCTTTATCTCATACCATGGAGGTATACAAAGAGGATACAAAAGTGCTAGTAAAGAAATGTGAGTATCCCCCAAATCTCAAGTATGCTTCAGAGAAACTGGAGATGGAAAAATCCACTGCAGCTCCAAATTGACCTTTTTTTTTTTTCTTTGAGACAGAGTCTTGTTCTGTCACCCAGGCTGGAATGCAGTGGCATGGCAGTGGCACGATTGCCACCTCTGCCTCCCGAGTTCAAGCAATTCTCCCACCTTAGCCTCCCAAGTAGCTGGGATTACAGTTGTGTGCCACTACGTCCGGCTAATTGTTTTTTTAGTAGAGACTGGGATTCACCATGTTGGCCAGGCTAGTCTCGAACCCCTGAACTGAAGTGATCCGCCCTCCTCGGCCTCCAAAAGTGCTAGGATTACAGGCATGAGCCACCATGCCCGGCCAAATTTACTTTCTACTACTACTTTTACTTCTCTTGCTGTAATCACTACAATCCCTGTTCTCTACTCCAGGCATTTCAGCTTTGCTTGCAATTCGAATTATTTTAAGAGATTTTAAAAAGCATGATGCCAAGTCACATCCAAAGTCAATAAACCCAACCTCTCTGAAAGTGGGAATTAGGCATCATAGTTTTTAAAAGTTCCATAGGGTAATTACAATGAAGGGCCAACATTGAAAACAACTGTTCTGCTCAGTAGACATGTTAACTGTCTTAAAGTCCCTGGTAACTTCTAGTTCTTATTCATTTATTCAGGTATCTTATGAACTAGGGTATTAGATGGCTAACTTACGTAAATTATTTTAACTGTTTTTACTTGCTATTAACAAAATGCCATGATTCCCTGCAAATAGTTTCTAATTCTAATTCCTGAAAGTATAAAATTGACTGGAGGACTCTATTCCACTGATTAAAAATATTTTTCTGCTCTAAGTATTATAATTAATTACAATGCAGGCTATGGCTTGGTCACCCACAGGTAAAATAGCAAGCCTTGATTTAATCACCTGTAATAAGTGAAGAACATATTTCCTAGAGATGCTTTCACAAGTGGGGGCTGTGAGTTGAGAGCAGATTCTCATAGAAAGGGACTTGAAGGATGGCCATAAGCTTGATGAGAAAACTATCCAATTCACATAAGCACAAGTCTTCCTCCTCTTAAGGAACACTAAAAAAGCATTCTCTGAAATATTATAAAATGTTGAGTTGTAACAGTATGGGTCTTTTTAAAAATAATTATTTTGTCTTTGATACTTTCATAATAAAAAATTTACTATGAAGTCTTTTTAAAAAACTTTGATGAAAAGCTGCTGCACTCTAAATGCATTACCTATCATTACAGTCTCTTCATTTCTTGTGACATATGTGCTAAGATAACTCTCTTATTCGTCCTCTGAATTTCATAGGCAAGTCCTTCAGTTGGTCTTTCAATCCATGAAAAACAGGCACTTTTTTCCAGATCACTTTACAGTCATCAAACTTTAATGCTAAACTTACTTCTTTCTTTTACGGTCACTTAAAATTCCTCCTTGAAGTCAGTGAGTCCTAACCTCAGAGTCATTTTTAGTATAGTAGTTACAACTGAAAGCCTTAAGTTAATACCTGTCAATTATTCAATAATTGGATAAAATAGCTGCTGAAGATTTTCAAGAACAGATTGGTTTAGTTGACTGCCTGCCCCAAATGGTGCTAATTTTCCTTTTACAACTTCTTCAAAGCTCACCATCTTGTCAGTAGTACTGAACATGTGTGGAGGAAAATCTAATTGTGTGATTACAGAAGAGGACTGTTTTAAAAATCCATATGAAAGCTTTTTCTTTCTTTGCTTTTCCTGAAGATTTGCCAACTTAGTACTGGGTTATTTATTCCTTCACTGCTCTTCTGGCTCTGTTTCACCCATTGTTCCAGGGTACTGGCATTAGACAACTACCATGATAGATGACATTGCTCCTACTTTTCCATGTATATCTTTAAAAGTGTAAGTTGAGGAAAAGGAGATGAGCACAGAAGGACAAATAAATAAAAATGAGATTTGTGAATTAGTGAGCATATCTGATTTATTCTGTGGATAGTACATTATTCATTTTTACAGTTACGAGACAATAAACATTTTATAATTGAATTTTGTACAGATTTGTTGAAGCAAATGTCCGTTGCTTAATATCCAACTAGTGTAGAATTCTAAATAGTTTCCAATTATTTAATTTTAATTATCTGAACTGAAAAATGATCCTGCATAAATTCTATTTGCCTCTATATCATTTACAAATCAGAAAAAAAAGGTGCAACCAAAACAAATGAGGAGACAATTAGTTATGAAGGTACATCAGAGAAAAAGAAGTGCCAGTGTTAAAACAGAATGAACAGGAATAGTTGTTCTGCTCTGAATTTGGTCTTGCTGTGTTAGCCAATCCTTTCTAACCCTAGTCTCTCTTCTCTCTCCATCTATTAAAAGATTCCCCCAACTCACTTTATTTGGCCTATATTCCCTAAAGCATTATCAATGCTAGGAATAGCTGTAATCATGCTCCCAAACAGTCTAACCTCTGCAATTATAAAATATTATTAGCATATATACTCAAACATTACTTCTATTCCTTCCAAGAAAATGACAATTGTATTCGATTAATCAATGCTTTTAGCAGGGGCTGTTATTTGTATTTTAACCAAGGAACACATGTGATTTTGACACTAGTGTTTACTAAATAATGACTTTCATTTGTTCCCTAACTTAGAGCTTTGTTCTAATGATGGGTATAATAGGCAAAAATGGACAGGGATAGCAAGGTGGTAATATAGTGGAGAAAGCTGTGTTTGGACACTGAGGGTTTGTGAAACCCATAAATCATGCCACCAAGTTCCTGCCACTGAGTTCCTGCTTGACTCAAATGTTGAAACTAATTGATGATACTATTCCATCTTACTAATGCGTATTAAAGCTTAATTTCCCATTAGTTTTCTTTTTAATGTCTATCCAAGAGATTAATGAAAAAAAACCTCTTCCTTTATACATAGGCAACAATGTCTATGAAACATTTTTAAGTTATGCTAAATATGGCATGAATCTAGAGTAGAGAAAGTCAGTATCAGGAAGCTAAGATGAATATATTGACTGCCCTGTCCCAAATTTCTGTGGAAAATTTCTTTAGGCTGTTCTCTAAACTGGCTGTTCTGTAAAACAGGCTCCAACTGTTCTTTCCCTCTTGCAATTATTCAACATAATTAGCAATATTTAGAAATTTAGCCAAGTGTTGCACACTCCCTATGTAGGTCTTGGCTTCTTGTCAAGTAAGAATTTCAAGGTATTGTGCTCCTTAACTCTTCAGAAAAGATGTCTTTCAAAGACAATGAGGTGTCAATTATCCTTAATTGCTCCTTAGTTTTCGATCTTTTTTAAACATCTATCACTTTGACAGGCTACATTTCTGAATGGACTCTGACTAAAATGAAACTGTGTGCATATGTCTCCCCTGTCTAATGATAGGTAACACATAAGAAGCCAATTTACAACAATGGAATAGGTGTGGGATTCTGCTTTTTGTGTGTGCATGTGACTTCTTTGCTTTAAGAATTTTTTGTTGTTGTTGTTCTTTAAATCAAATAGTCTTACTTGAAAATACCAGAAAGTTGTCAGAAGTCCAACTAGTAAAATACACATAATCTTAAAACATTGGGGCCTTTCTTAGTAGGTCTAGTTTTCCAAATAAACTTTAAATTGTTCCATATTTAATTAATTGAGAATGTGTTAAAATGTAAAAATTTTCATTTGGATCATGGAGAATGACTGTGCAAGACAATATTATATGCTGCGTACCTTTTAAAGAATCTGACTTGGTTGACATCTTTTACATTTTTATTGAAAAATATATGAAGTACAATGAAGATACATCCTTTTAGTTCATTATTTTGGGATTTGATTACTCTTGACATCAGTGAAATGCTACTTTAAATAAATTTTCACACAAACTGGCAAAGAAAAATTGCACCAGACAAGTTAAGAGGGGCAAGAAATCATTTATTAAAGACTATTGCATAGGGGAGAGATATTGAACTCTTCTATATTGATACAAAATGTGGCAGAATTTTCAAGTGCTTAGATAAGCTAGTGGAAAACTATTGGAAGACTTAGGAGGACTGGGTGGTGTATTAGTCTGTTCTCACACTGCTAATAAAGACACACCTGAGATTGGATAATTTATAAAGGAAAAAGGTTTAATTGACTCACAGTTCCACATGGCTGGGGAGGCCTCACAATCATGACAGATTGTGAATGAGGAGCAAAGTCACGTCTTTCACGGTGGCAGGCAAGAGATCTTGTGGCAGAAAACCCCCGTTTATAAAACCATCAGATCTATGAGACTTATTCACTACCAGGAGAACGGTACAGGGAAAACCGCCCCCATGATTCAATTATCTCCACCTGGTCCCGCCCACCCTTGACAGGTGGGAATTATGATAATTCAAGGTGGGATTTGGGTGGAGACACAGACAAATGATATCAGATTGTCAATGTGATTAGTCCATCTGTGTCTGCTAATTGTTGCTTACTGAAGTCAGGCAACTATGAAGACTGTGAGAAAGGGCACTATCTTTCATGATGTTTATATTTCAAAGGGATGTTTTCAGGTCCTTAAGAAACACTTTTTGGCTGGGAAAAGATTTACATTTCAAAGAGGCAGAGCAACAATTTACAATTGGACACTTTCTTAAGTGAGTGCTATAATAATAGGGAGGTCAGCGGCCTATAGTCAGGGAGTAAACTGTCTAAAATTTAATCAAGGTGATGGGAACATCAAGAACATCTTGGTCAAAACAAATAAAATGAAAGCAAATTTTCTCCTTTTTGGAGTTTCTCAGTTTGTAATATATGACATGTTTATATCACAATTGCTTTGAAGATAAAGGAGTTTTAGCTTTCAAAAATATATTTTGGAGAGCATTCATTGAAGTGAGGATTTATATCCTTTTTTGTCATAATCTATTGGTAGTTGTTATTATATTAAGAATACGAGTATTTTTAAAAATAGAGGTATTGCACTCATTGTCCAGTGGCCTGCACCTGCATTTTTCCAGATATATATTTTTTACCCTATTCTGAGTAATCCCATTGTTAATGTAAGATGATCTGTAGCTAATCATGGTAATTAGAAACAGTAGCACTTTTATATTTCACAACTGTTAGATGAATGACAATAGCAACATTCAAATAATCTAACAGTAATCTTTGAATTCATTTGCAGTTTCAGAGATTTTTGGCAGATCTGTTGCCTCATTAAGCTTCAATGAGATGTTTAGTAGGCAAATAAAAATAACTCAATTTCAAAGCTCTTGAGCAAAATATGTTCCTTCCGTTCACATGACCAATTATCTGTATGCATGTGGAGATCAGGACATCCTTCCAAACAAAAATCAATTTTAACTCACTTCAACCTCAGGTATTTAAGCAGTAAAACAAAAATATTTAGTCTCTGTGAGTATGAATGCCATTGTCTCTGAACGCATTCTCTTAAATAGATGCATTATTGCTCTATTATCATATTAATACTCACGTGGAAATCCATGTTTCTGCCAAAACGGGTCTGAAACACTTTTTAAAATAATGTCATTGACATAATAAAAACATTTAAAGTAATGGCTAATTTCTCTTGCACTTTCAATATTTACAATACTAAATACTTTACCTATATTAAATCATTTATTATCTTACCAAGTCTATAAGGTAGGTTCTGTTAACAGTCTTGTTTTATAAATGAGTTAACCAGCTTGTCCAAAATCACACAGAGAGTAGTGATCAGGATATAACATCAAAAGTCTCAATCCAGAGTCTACAGGTTTACCCTTAAGCCACAAAATCTGTGTTCTTATAAAGTTCAGAATTATTCAAGGTTATAGTCTTTTTCGTAATAAACAAAATAGAGTATAACAATGTTTGATACACCTCACTGCCTTAGTCTTTCTGTTTCAAATAAATAGTTAAAATATTCCCTGAAAGTTAAATAGGGAAGAAATATACACAGTTTAATATTTTATACTGTTTTTTTTTTCCTTTTTTTTTTCTTTGAGGTTGGAATACAAGTTAAGTAAACCAAAGAAGAAAGCTCTCCACTGCAGAGAGGGAGCCCAGAAGAGGGTTGCCCAGGTCTTTCAGCTTTTAAAAATTGAATGCACTGTAAACAATACTATTGGAAATATTAATTGCAATTTTATAGAGAAAAATATCTTTTCTAATGACATCATGGTTATATTGATTTTCCCCAAAATTCATTAAAGTAAAAAAGAAAATTTACTTGAATATTACATGTAAAATTTTACATCTTGTTCCGTTTTGCTTAAAATTTGTTTAAATGTTTTAAATAAAGTTGAATTTTCTTTATAACTTTTAATATTCTCAACGTAAGTACTTTTTCACAATTGGCATAAATGTTCGAGGGGTCAGTTTGTCGTATTATTGTAAACCATCATTTATTTAGCCTATGCAAGTTATTCAATCTTCTCCTGCCACCGTTTTTTCCCCGACCCCCCACCCGCCCTGCCACCCCAAACATGTGAAATCCTTTAAGTTTTTTATAGCCATCAAATACTACAAAAAAGATATTGTCACACATTTTGAGTCAGTAAATTGCACTTAGTTTTTCTGATAAGTAGCAATAAGACATCTGCACATTTTGTAGTTTATTAATTTCGTGCAATAAAAAATGCTTTATTGTTACTATAATTCTTTCTCTTAATCTTTGTACCACTCTTTCTTCCTTTTTTGTCATCAGCATCTTACTTTCTTCATAATTGTATTATGGCTGAATTTTCTTCTAGGTTCAATATGTGTAGAAGAAATAAAAGTGTATGTGAGATAATATAGTTTGTTATAGATACCCGTGGTTGTGTTTTATAAGTTATTTCTTATTCTTCTAATTTATCTGTGAAAGTGTATTACTTTCACTGTGAATAAGCTGAAATAAATGAATATTTAAAAGTATATTTTACAGCTTTTTCAGGACTTAAAAAATGTCACAATAGTAAAACTACAGCTTTGTGAACCATTTTTTGCTCTGTAGGGCAAAATATCATATCTACCTTAGGATGATTCACCAGAAGCATCATATTGATTTATTAACCACAGTACAATATCTGCCATTTATTGAGAGGTTCTTATATATTTTACTAAATATATGAATCATTTTATATGCACTTGCTTCACTAATATTCAGAATTATCTGGTGAGATAGAATTGTTTTCTCTGTTTTTCAGATGACTAAATCCAATCTTAAAAATGATAAATAGTTTTCCCAAGGACATATAGCAAATAGGCTCAAACCAGGATTCCAAACCAGGCCTAACTGACTCCAAAGTTCATTTGCTTAAATAGAATCCTGTTTCCCACTATTTGTTCTAGTTTTTCTTAATCTGTTTAACAATTATGAATTGTCATCTCCAATCTGATTATTTTTACTCACATACGGACATTTCAATATGCAGAACTTATTTTTAAAACTCATTTTTATTTAAAACAAATATATTGACCTAGTTGTGTCTTCTGTCTACCCACCTGGTTAATATTTACATTAACTACATTAACTTCAACAGCATGCCTTCTCAGTTTAACTCTATAACATTTATGCTATGGTTGTTAGCCTCATTTTTTTTTTACAAATTTAAACTATTCAATAAAAAGTTTAAGGCCAGGTGCAGTGGTTCACGCCTGTAATCCCAGCACTTTGGGAGGCCAAGGCAGGCAGATCATGAGGTCAAAAGCTTGAGACTAGTCTGGCCAATATGGTGAAACCCCGTCTTTATTAAAAGTACAAAAAAAATTAGCCAGGTGTGGTGGCAGGCACCTGCAGTCCCAGCTACTTGGGAGGCTGAGGCAGGAGAACCACTTGAAACTGGGAGGTGGAGGTTGCAGTGAGCCAAGGTTGCACCACTGCACTCCAGCCTGGGCAATAGAGGGAGACTCCGTCTCAAAAAAAAAAAAAAAAAGATTTAATTATGTTTAATTACTATATCAACAACTAATAATAGATAAAATAATAAATAATTTAAATACTTTGATGTCCATAATAAATATTTCAATTGAAGCAATAATATTGCTATCCAGGACCCAGTTCTGGATAAACTTTTAATATGTCTATTATTTGTGAGCGATTTAAGTAATTTAGAAAGCATGTGAATCCAATAATTCACTGCATAGGGACAATGTTTGTCAGTATTATTAGGGTATCTTTTCTTTTTCTTAGACAAAAACATTTATGTATATGAATAGCATTTTTTAAAAGCAGAGTACTTCTAAACAAACATTTTTTTACAATTATACCAACTCCAGAAGTTTGTCCATAACTGCTTACAAACTGCTGAAAACTTGAAACCATTTGAGAAAATGCATGATGAGAAAAAAGATAAAGGCAAGTTAGTCAGTTTTCTATGTGCTTTGTCTAGAATTGAAGATGATTATTTTTTGCTCAGACTCAAATCTGAAATTTATAGTAGAATAAATGAGGCAGTTTTACTTCATTGAAGGACTAAGATATCACTGGCTGGCTGATGTGTAAAATGTAACGTTTCTTCCAAGATTTTACCTCTAAAGTTCCTTGAAAAATTCCTCTGAAGGCAGACCTTAGGAAATGGCTTAAAGTGAAATAAGTTTTGTTGTCAATGATTGCTGAATTTTATTTTATGAGAAATATCATTGAGTGAAAGGATGTTATATGTACTATGAAATAGATATTTTTGTTTTGGGTGTTATTTATTTGAAAAGGACACATATATATCAAGAGTCCATTTTTAGAAATACACTTCTAGGCAGAGCTGGAAAAAAGTATACTGCGTTCTAGGAATCATCAGGAGCTAGAAAACTTGAGTGTGGCCAGTAGTGATGAGAACATGTAGGTAGTCACTATGGGTGATGTAAAGGAAATAACTTTATTCAGTATTAATCAGGGTTCCGTAATATACTTAATTAAAGAAATAATGTGATCAATTATAGTTTTAACAGGACACATCACTATTGGAAGCTTCAACTTAGAAGGGAGACACAAGCAACATTAGAAGAAGGAAAGTTATTTTACTAGTACATGTAAGGAACAATGATAGTTTAGACTGGGGTGAGGGTGGCAATGCAGGAAAAAAAAATGGGAGAAGAAAACTTAAATACATAGTTTCCACAAGCAGAAGTTGGTGATTTATTGTATGTCAGTAGGTGAAAAACAGAGAGAGAGGAAAAAAAAAAAAAAACAACCAAGAATAACTCCTCTATTACTAGTTTAAGCAACTGAGAAGAACCAAGAATAACTCTTCTATTACTGGCTTAAGCAACTGGGCAATGATTATTTAATTTCTTGTCAAACAAAAACTTGGGGAAGAAATTGTGTTAGATGGGAAATAAATAATTTCTCAACATTGTTAAATAAATATGAAATTTTCATGTCATTAAATATTACTTAAAAACTTTAAAATGAGATGAATATGATTTAATACCTTTAATGAGTTTGAGATATTTATATAAATCTCCTTTTTGCAAACATGCCTTCATTATGAATTGTTTTAGTGGGTTTTCCAAGGGTTGGAAATGTGATTGTGAAAATTCATCTTTCCTATCTCTACTCTATGAGAATTACGTCTATAAAGAATGAGCAATTCTTTGGTTTTTTAATGTTTTTGAAATTTTCAATTTTTTAATATAACTGCATACAACAATTGTGGTGCTCAATGTTTGTAAATAGTTGAGTTTTAAAAAACATATAAAATCAAGCCCACTTTTTATGGTCAGTTTCTGTACACTATTATTTAAAATTTATTCCTAAAAAGCTCAGGACCTGTCCTATCACAACCCGCTCTATTAAAACAGTTTGAGTACAAAATTTCCAAGGCTTGGCTAGATGCGGTGGTTCACACTTGTAATCCCAGCACTTTGGGAGGCCGAGGCGAACAGACCTCTTCTGGTCAGAAGTTCCAGACCAGCCTGAAACCCTGTCTCTACTAAAAATACAACAATTAGCTGGGTGTGGTGGCGCACACCTGTAGACCCAGCTACTCAGGAGGCAGAGGCAGGAGAATCGCTTGCACCCAGGAGGTGGAGGTTGTAGTGAGCTGAGATAGCGCCATTGCACTCCAGCCTGGGAGACAGAACAAGACTCTATCTCAAAAATAAATAAATAAATAAATAAATAAATAAATAAATAAAATTCCAAGGCTTCTTACCAAATTGGTTTTTACCTCTAGCTCCTTTTTAACTTTTTATGTGTGTTAGAAGAAGCTTTCCCAAATACCTCCATGTTTAAGGTGAAAAGAGTCCAAGACCCTCTGCTATCAAATTCTTCTATTGTAGTTCAAGTTTCTAGAGCACCCCAAACTTAAATGAGAGAAAATTGGAGAGTAAACGCAAACTAAAGCAAAACAAACTCTTAAGTTAGTTGAATTAGAACACAATAAGGATATTAGAGTAGTGGGAGCGTGGTGTGCCAATGAGAATGAAAGGAAGATAAAATCAGGATCAGCAGCGGCAAATTTCCCCAAAGAACATAAGTCAAATTAGAGAAATATGGATATTACCACTTTATCCTTTTTATGTTACTTTAAGGTGCCCAAAGAGGAGTTGCAAAAATCGACTGATAATAGTCTAAGACTGGTGCCTAATAAGTACAAAACAGTCAAAAATTTCAGCATGATATTTTTAAATTAGATACCAAAATGTTTTGGTGCATTATCTGGGCAATAAGACTGGATTAACATTTTTCTCACTACCACAACAAAATTCAGTGATTCCTTTTCTTGATTGAACCCCAGGATGCATGCCAGATGCAAGATGTTCATGTGTATGATTCCAAAAAGGACATTAGTGAGAAAACTGAAAAAAGTACATAGTTAATAGCATTATATTGCCTTCTTAATTTTGTCATTTTGACTATTGTATTCTAGTTAGAATCAATATTGGAGAAGCTGAGTGAACAGCATATGATAACTTTCTTGTACTACCTTTGCGATTATTCTTAATATATCTCAAAATACAAAGTATAAAATAATCTTGATGGATTGCATGGAATAAAAATTTAAATTAAAAATGAAATGTGCTATGCAGCTGTGTAAAGGCATGTAAAAACCTCAAATAAATATTACAAAACGAAAGAAGCCCATATAAAAAGGTATATAGTATAAAATGCCAACTATATTACATTTAGGAAAAGGCAAAACTCTGGAAACAGTAAAAAGATTAGTGGTTGTAGGGAGTTTAGGTGGAGGAATAAAGGGATGAGTAGATGGAGAAGAGGGATTTTTTAGGGCAGTCAAGCTATTATGTATAATGCTTTAATGATGAATACGTGTCATTCTACAGTTGCCAAATGTCATAGAATGTAGAACACAAAAGGCAAGCCTTGGTATAAACCATGGACTTTGCCTGGTAATCATGCATCAATTTTGGCTCATCAGTTGTAACAAATTCACCACACTAATGCAAAATGTTAATAAGCATTAGAAACTGGAATGGAGGATTGAGGCGACATATAGAAATTTTCTACTTTCTGCAAACCTAAAACTACTCAATAAAGTCCACTAATTTTGAAAATCTGATAAACCACAAACAATATACAAATGTATGCTACTTTATAATACCACTAATTAATAAAATATTCTAAACATTTTTTATAATGACATTTAATGCACCAGTATTATAGTCCTAGGAAGAAATCATAATAATGGTTTAGTCTTGATATATTATTTTACTTTTTAGGTGTTACATTGTTTAAAAATGAAATATCATTGCAATGCATTCTTTTTTCTGCAATGGCTCTTCATGAATATCCTGAGTATCCACTCCCATTCACTTTGAACTATGTGAGCTATTTCTATAATATCCTTGTTGTAATTCTGTAGGATGCAGAATATAATAAAAATTGATATCCATGAATACACATTTTATTAAGATAAATTAATATGAATGTTCTTTCAACTATTTGTTTTCTTTTTCTTCTTTGATATCCGATCAGGCTAAACACATTTTGAAGTATTGAGTGCCAGAGGGAGTCTTAATAAACATCATTTAATTCTCTATTTCAATGATTATCAAAAAGGAAATGAAGTCAAGTTTAATGACATATTTTAATTTTAGTATAAAAAAGTAATCTTTACTTTGTAATGCTTATTTATACATAGAAGTGTGTACATTTCATATTCTCAAAATTAAGCTATATATTATTTTATGAATAGTTTAAATTCATTTTGAGAATTGAGTGCAAGTAATAATGGAATTTAAATCTCTTGATTTCCTTAATAATTTCAACTTTGTTTTGTATGCTTATTGTGGTTATTAACAACTAACAGCACGATTTGATAAACCTTTCTGAGATGATGGACATGTTCTACACCTGCACTAATCAATATTTTAGCTGCTAGCCACATGTGGCAACTGGGTAAAAGAATAGTGGCTAGCATGACTAACGAACTAAAATTTTAATTTAATGTTGTTAATTTAAATTTAAATAGAACAACACAGATGAAATATTAAAGGATTAATAATTTTGCACTTCAGTGAGTTATACCTGTTTTGAAAAATAAACAACACATATCTATAAGTTACCAATGTAATTGATGTTATTTATTGTAACTGTGTATTGTGTCATTTAGAGTATATTAATAATCATTGCTAATCTAGAGTACTGGGCTTTAAAAGGGTAACCTTTAATATATGAGACCTATTCAAAAAGATCAGCAAGAGAAAATAAAACAAAAAAGCTAATCTCTTAAAAATAACTTTTAAATGACAGGTAAATATTTTGGTTAAGGAGAACAGAAATTTTCCCAAAGTAAACAGTCTTCCAGCATGAAAATGAACAGTGAAGTAATGATTTCAATTACCTTACTATATGAAACATATTTAATATTCAGATACCCTTATTATATGGCTGAAATTATTCCTATGTATAAATGGGCTCATCGAAGTTCAGTGAGTCTTAGTAAATCAGGCAACTAAGTAGCTGTGTTGAGATTTTTACCTATATTTGTTTGTAAACAAAGCCTATGCTTTCATATACCATCTCCTATGAAAACAAATATTCTGAAAAAGAGTAATAACCCTCACATACACACACACAAAATCTATTGCATTAGTTTGCTAGGGCTGCCTTAACAACATACCACAGACTGGTGGCTTAAACAACAGAAATTTAATTCCTTACAGGTTTGGAAGCTAGACATCCGAATCAGGGTGTTGCCAGGTTTTGTTTCTCTTGGGGCTTCTCTCCTTAGCTTGCAGATTACCTTGTTCTTCTTCATCTTTGGTATCTCCTTGTGTGTTCTAACTTCCTCTTCTTATACGAAAGCCAGTCAGATTGGATCTAAGCCCATTCTAAGGACCTTATTTTAATCCCCTCGTTAAAGGCCCATCTCCAAGTACACTGAGATACTGGGGTTTAGGGCTTCAACATACATATTTTGAGGGGACACAATTTAGCCCATTAGCACCTGGGTACAAGAAACTGTACTAGTATTATTAAAAATATATTTTAAAACATTACTATAATTTTTATTATAAACAACTAAAAGTGCCTATAAACTGTATAAAATTGTTGAACAAAAATAAGAAAAATCAAAATTAATGATGAATAATTTCAATGTATTAATGTTAATTAACAAAAATGAATTTACAAATTTGTCTAAATAAAAATCATTCTCTTAGAATAACTGTTAAACATCTGATGACTTATAAAATACTTTAAAAAATAAAATATATTTTTAACAAGTCAAATAAATTTCCCCTTATAAAGATTCTTAGAAGACCCACTTATTGAAAAAAATAAAATGGAAAAAAATAAAATGGAAAAAAATTTAATTTGTTTTAATGTGAATGATATTTTCCAGGGTCTGAGAGGGATTGAAGGCAATTTGACCTCTTTAATGTTTTAAATATTTTCTGTGAAAGTACATATTGCTTACCTTACTATGTAAGAGTGGTTTTGTTAGGATACTGTTAATCTAATTCAGATAGTTACTGAATTATTAAGATTCTGGATTGAGTTCTGTTGAATTAATGTAAATTGACTTGGACCAAAAGAAAGCGAATGAGTAAGGATGTAAGAAACCAAAGAAATATGAGAGCATGATCAATGTGACACAAAGAAATGGGGACAAGTGGTTGTACGCTAAGACCATGAACAACTGGAATCAGCCATAGTAACCCTTTAATGTGATAAATGGTAGTTGGCATGAGGGTGGAGTTACAACTCAGAAAAAATTTACAGGTTTGAGCAGATGAATGAAATATGAAAGAACCTTGATGTATGTTGTTAAAGTGTGGGTTGTGATATTTCTTACTGATAACAAAGTACCAAAAAAAATTTAAGCATGTAGAAACTTTTTATTTATTATTACGTGCTTCAAAAATAGTGTATAAATAATTATTGAGATAACATAAAGCATTTTGGACACCGTGCTTCTCAAGGGTTTCTACATTTATATGAAATCTGTTGTCTTCTAAAGGCTAGAAATAAACTATAATATTTACTCCTTAAAACTATTAAGTTGTAAATAACACAAGGAAATCAAAGTCTTATCTAACAAAAATAATAAAAAGGGATATTGCTTAATAAAATAATTCATTCATTGTAGTGCCTTTGGATAAAAGAAGTCTTTATCTCCTATAAAAAGTAAATCTTCAACAAATAATAGGGAATTTCAGCATTTGCTGCTGCTATTTATATCTATCAATAAAAGAATCTAAACAGTTCCATCAGAACGAGACAGATGTGTAAGCCTGAAGAACTGAACAAACTGAACATTTATATAACATAAAGAAAACATTAATATTACACATTTAAGCTGCTCATGTATAAAATTATTTTACACTTTATTTTCTGTATCAAGAGCAACTTTTGATAAAGTCTTGTCATTTATATTTCAGATAAACTGAGTTACTTTTATTGAAATGATATATTTTCTAAAATGTTATATAAAATATTTTCCAAAAAATATAATTTTTAATTCAATATTTTAATGTTTTTGCCATTTCTTTTATTTATTCTTCTGAAGGTAAATATTTTAAACATGCATAACTATAAGGTGTAAGGAAGGGATCCAGTTTCAGCTTTCTACATATGGCTAGCCAGTTTTCCCAGCACCATTTATTAAATAGGGAATCCTTTCCCCATTGCTTGTTTTTCTCAGGTTTGTCAAAGATCAGATAGTTGTAGATATGCGGCGTTATTTCTGAGGGCTCTGTACTGTTTCATTGATCTATATCTCTGTTTTGGTACCAGTACCATGCTGTTTTGGTTACTGTAGCCTTGTAGTATAGTTTGAAGTCAGGTAGTGTGATGCCTCCAGCTTTGTTCTTTTGGCTTAGGATTGACTTGGCGACTTGGGCTCTTTTTTGGTTCCATATGAACTTTAAAGTAGTTTTTTCCAATTCTGTGAAGAAAGTCATTGGTAGCTTGATGGGGATGGCATTGAATCTGTAAATTACCATGGGCAGTATGGCCATTTTCACGATATTGATTCTTCCTACCCATGAGCATGGAATGTTCTTCCATTTGTTTGTATCCTCTTTTATTTCCTTGAGCAGTGGTTTGTAGTTCTCCTTGAAGAGGTCCTTCACATCCCTTGTAAGTTGGATACCTAGGTATTTTATTCTCTTTGAAGCAATTGTGAATGGGAGTTCACTCATGATTTGGCTCTCTGTTTGTCTGTTGTTGGTGTATAAGAATGCTTGTGATTTTTGTACATTGATTTTGTATCCTGAGACTTTGCTGAAGTTGCTTATCAGCTTAAGGAGATTTTGGGCTGAGACAATGGGGTTTTCTAGATATACAATCATGTCATCTGCAAACAGGGACAATCTGACTTCCTCTTTTCCTAATTGAATACCCTTTATTTCCTTCTCCTGCCTAATTGCCCTGGCCAGAACTTCCAACACTATGTTGAATAGGAGTGGTGAGAGAGGGCATCCCTGTCTTGTGCCAGTTTTCAGAGGGAATGCTTCCAGTTTTTGCCCATTCAGTATGATATTGGCTGTGGGTTTGTCATAGATAGCTCTTATTATTTTGAAATACATCCCATCAATACCTAATTTATTGAGAGTTTTTAGCATGAAGGGTTGTTGAATTTTGTCAAAGGCTTTTTCTGCATGTATTGAAATAATCATGTGGTTTTTGTCTTTGGCTCTGTTTATATGCTGGATTACATTTATTGATTTGCGTATATTGAACCAGCCTTGCATCCCAGGGATGAAGCCCACTTGATCATGGTGGATAAGCTTTTGGATGTGCTGCTGGATTCGTTTTGCCAGTATTTTATTGAGGATTTTTGCATCAATGTTCATCAAGGATATTGGTCTAAAATTCTCTTTTTTGATTGTGTCTCTGCCTGGCTTTGGTATCAGAATGACGCTGGCCTCATAAAATGAGTTAGGGAGGATTCCCTCTTTTTCTATTGATTGGAATAGTTTCAGAAGGAATGGTACCAGTTCCTCCTTGTACCTCTGGTAGAATTCGGCTGTGAATCCATCTGGTCCTGGACTCTTTTTGGTTGGTAAGCTATTGATTATTGCCACAATTTCAGATCCTGTTATTGGTCTATTCAGAGATTCAACTTCTTCCTGGTTTAGTCTTGGGAGGGTGTATGTGTCGAGGAATTTATCCATTTCTTAAAAGACAGAATTGACAAATGGGATCTAATTAAACTAAAGAGCTTCTGCACAGCAAAAGAAACTACCATCAGAGTGAACAGGCAACCTACAAAATGGGAGAAAATTTTCACAACCTACTCATCTGACAAAGGGCTAATATCCAGAATCTACAATGAACTCAAACAAATTTACAAGAAAAAAACAAACAACCCCATCAAAAAGTGGGCAAAGGACATGAACAGACACTTTTCAAAAGAAGACATTTATGCAGCCAAAAAACACATGAAAAAATGCTCATCATCACTGGCCATCAGAGAAATGCAAATCAAAACCACAATGATATACCATCTCACACCAGTTAGAATGGCAATCATTAAAAAGTCAGGAAACAACAGGTGCTTGAGAGGATGTGGAGAAATAGGAACACTTTTACACTGTTGATGGGACTGTAAACTAGTTCAACCATTGTGGAAGTCAGTGTGGCGATTCCTCAGGGATCTAGAACTGGAAATACCATTTGACCCAGCCATCCTATTACTGGGTATATACCCAAAGGACTATAAATCATGCTGCTATAAAGACACATGCACACGTATGTTTTTTGCGGCATTATTCACGATAGCAAAGACTTGGAACCAACCCAAATGTCCAACAATGATAGAATGGATTAAGAAAATGTGGCACATATACACCATGGAATACTATGCAGCCATAAAAAATGATGAGTTCATGTCCTTTGTAGGGACATGGATGAAATTGGAAATCATCATTCTCAGTAAACTATTGCAAGAACAAAAACCCAAACACCGCATATTCTCACTCATAGGTGGGAATTGAACAATGAGATCACATGGACACGGGAAGGGGAAAATCACACTCTGGGGACTGTTGTGGGGTGGGGGAACGGGGGAGGGATAGCATTGGGAGATATACCTAATGCTAGATGACGAGTTAGTGGGTGCAGCGCACCACCATGGCACATGTATACATATGTAACTAACCTGCACAATGTGCACATGTACCCTAAACCTTAAAAGTATAATAATAATAAAAAAAAGAAAGAAAATAAATAAAATAAACATGCATAACTATCAAAGTTTTTCTTCATTTAATATTCTCATTTAAATAAACCCTTTATTCATTAAAGCAATCTATTTAGCATCTACTGATCTCCAGGATCTGTTACGTGCTAAACAAAAAAATTAGAAAATTTGGCCTGAACATTGATCTCATAGTAATCTAGTAAAAACTGAGACTTTAAATTAATATTACAATAAAAAGTGCAGCTTGAAATGATATTGTAAATAGGGAA
The DNA here is from genome assembly GCF_000001405.40 of Homo sapiens. Classification (NCBI taxonomy): domain Eukaryota; kingdom Metazoa; phylum Chordata; class Mammalia; order Primates; family Hominidae; genus Homo; species Homo sapiens. The sequence goes on along the minus strand of NC_000002.12, from coordinate 193,647,176 downwards.
TGGTGGATAGGAAGATTAACCATCTCTACATTTCTTCTCTTGGGAAATAGGGAAAGATTTGCATTAAATTGGGGACCAAAGAATGAGTAGAAAGTGCGTTTCAAGTAATAACAGGTAGAATGTCAAGAAAGTGTTTGACCTAAAAAGGAATTGTTGCATGAATTAATAATGAAAATTGAAGAGGAACTTGAAGAATAACCTAAAATGGTAATTTGAGCTAAAATTTGTTAGTTTTTTTAATGTCTGTTTAGTCAGTTTGGATTTTTTTCTGTAGCCATACAAAGGGTTTTTAGCTATAAAGTAAGAGAAGCACAATGAGGAAACTGAAAACAAGACAATAGAAGATATACTGGCGTAGGGAGGGCCTAGTACCAGAAACCAGTGAACAGATATAATAGCCCAAGTGGGAGATAAAGGAGAGAAAGCAATTTCATTAAATCAGAAAAAGAAAAGCTAGATTAAAACAATAACTTTGAGTTAAATATCAGTAAGATGGAAATGCTAGCTGAATAGCAGGAGTGTAAGAGTGTGAGGACTCAGAGACAAATACAAAATTTTCACTTTCGAACATTGGATGGCTGGAGATGCCTTTAACAGAAATAAGAAAAGATACTATGGGTAAGAAACAAGGTGATACAGTAAAAAAAAAATTGATTTTTAAGTGATAATTTTGAGTTGCCAAAGATAAATAGAATGAATGTATGTAGATATAGAGAAATAAATATCATTTTAAGAAATGTGTGAATTATAAAATATAATTTTATAATTTTTTAAAATTACTTGATAATATATTATTTTCCAAAGTGGAAAATAATGCCTCATATCTCTTTAGATTCAAATTAGGAAAGAATAAAACTCATTTTAATACATGTTCAGATGTTCACAATTTTGAATTTGTAACTTGAATTTTTAAATAAAATTTGTCTTCTATGAAATTTTACTAAATTTTTATTAACATACTTAATTTTTATGTGATGGAAAAGCTACTGATTTTTCATATCAGGTCAGAAAGTTGTGGCCTATCTGCAGTCTTGAAGTGACTAAGGTATTTTTTACTACAAGGCTTGACTTTGCTGAGCTCCCAGTTTTAACCTCTTACATTGTTTAGTGAATTAACTCAGTTCACTAATCCACTAGATCCTACAATCCATGCTTTGAATAACTGAATAATAAGTTCTACTTTTAGAAACACACGTATTTCAAGGGTGAAAGAATATTCTTTTAGCCGGTGATTTCCTCATGACTTTTTTTATAGGACTATTTAGTAGAAACTAGCGATTTTTTTCCAAATTCATTATTAATTATGCTAAACAAAGTACACATTAAATATCCTAACTGAAGCATATTAAATGTCTTTCAGTTTTGTTTTTTCTTTTTTTTAGCTTCTCTGCCATACTTTCAATTCTCTGGAAGTAGAAATGAGGAAGAATGGCTATCAGTGAAATTAAATATATTCATGTCTTTTGAGGGCTGACCTGGTCTAAAACGATGGCTGCTTTAGGCACATGTTTATTCCTACTTATTTCCCTTAGTATTGAGAACTCCTGAGAAATTCAGCTGCTCCTTTTTTTCACCCCCCAGCTGGTGACAATCACAAGGTCTTTCTCTAATGTTCATCCCTTTATTCCATACTACACACTATGGCAAGCCTGTTAACCACCATTCTCAACACATCCCCCAAGCTGAAATCATGGGAAACCTGGGGCAAATCTGCCCCATCACATATGTACTGCAGGAATGGCAGGGGTACTTTGTATGCAAAGGCCGACCATACCACCACTTGAACTGTTCTTCCCAAGTCTGGTGACATAGGTAGCATCTACTAAATGCTTACACCAAAAAAAGTGTTGGGAAACCAAATGCCTATTTTTCCTATTCATCAATGTCCACAAGCTTCATAAGGGAAACTCCTTTTTTTTTTCTTTCCTGTACTCTTTTCTTGCATTCATTCTGAGAGCTTAATGATCAAAGAGTCCAAACAACTGCTGAAAATGTTCTGCTTTTGTTAAACTTGTATTCCATTCCCCCTCTCTCCAGATCTTGTTACATGAAGAGAGACTTTATGTGAAGCTATATATAACAAAACCAATTTTTTATCCTCAATTTTATAATGAAAAATGTTTAAGGAAATGATGTTATTCAAGAACCTGCTATACTTTGTTTTTACTTAAAGCTGCAGTTTCCAAGAACCTATTAATGATATTAAGTGTGGACTTGGGTACAAAATTGCTTTTCTCCCCCACTCCATCCCTCTTTTTGTTTTCCATGAAAATTATTTCCCTTGAAACTAGTAATTTAGATGAAATATTTTCTCTTTAGCATTGACTACTTCGAAGGAAGAAATGCCCTTTGGTTTATTGGTCAGATTAGGGAAATCCAGAGAAAGTCTTCGGTAAAGCAGAAAAATGCCACATCACTGAAATCTTTGAAGTAACATTGTCTACACTGGAAAGACCGCTAGGTTAGTAATTAGGTGGTCTATTATATTATTACTAAATTATTATCTCATGTTGGTAAAATCCCTCTATACTTTTAGAGCTTTGTTTTCCTCATCTATAGAGTGTAAAATAAAAGACATGGAACAAATTAAATTTAAAATCCCTCTTGTTCTATGAGGCTATGACATAAAATGCAGTGAATGTAGAGTAAGATGATGGAATAGCACATCCTCCACTTGTATTTCTCCATAGCAATAGTAACTTGGCAGCAATTTACAAACAAAATTGCTTTAGTTGGAGCTTTGAGATCCAGGTAGGGGGTTGCAAAACCCAGGGCTACCCAAAACTGAGGAAGGGTGTTTTGAGAATACAGGACATTACGCAGAGGGCAGGTCCACCAATCATAATCCTGACTTCAGATGTAGAAACAGTCCATCTTTCTGTGCACTCAGCCACAACCCCATTTGGCCTCTGCCCTACCACTACCACCATCAGCTAAGGGACCAAGGAGGAGCAATGACTACCTGTATCTCAGGTAACAGGCCCACTTACATTGGTCCTGGCTGTGGACTCAGAAGTGGCTTTGTAACTTAACTCCAGCCCCTTCTCAGCCATGGTCCAGAGTAGTCTTCACCACCCAAAGACCCAGTGGGAGACAAACTCCTCCACATTCCCAAAGGCAGGGCCACTAATCTTGGTTCAACTATGGAACCTGAAGCAGCTGTATAACCTGGCTCCAGTCTTGCTCAGTCGTAGTCTGAAGGAAGTTATGCCCTCCAATGAACCAGATATTCCATATACCCAGAGGTAGGCCTGCAGGGCTTGGTGATGGCTGCGGACATTGAAGAATCCCTGTTACCTGGTTTCAGACCCTCTTAGCCATGGTTTCAGGCCTTTTCTCCCAGGAATCCATCCAATGACTTGATTAAAGCCACACTCTTTCACGTACCTGGTAATAAGCCTGCCATCTTCAGGCTGAACTGCTGTCTCTGAAGCAGACTTTTGTCCAGCACTAAGCTGACTATCCAAGGTTCTGAAGGTATCTTGTCCACCCAGGGACCAAGCAAGTGACATTTGCCTTAGTCCCTGGTGGCAGACTTACCACATGGACCCCACTGCAGACACAGCAGCAATCATATAACCTGGCTCCATCTGAGCACAGCTGCAATTTGAGGCAATCTGATAAGTCCAGGTGCCCACAGGGGGAGGCTTTTACCTGTTGAAGCTATTCTGTAAAGATAAAAAAGGTATTTTCTCCTTCAAATGTACGGACACCAACACAAGTCTAGATGCATTTTGAAGAAGCAGGCAAACGCAACACCATGGAAGGAAACTATTAAAGCTCCTATAGCCACCACAAAGAAATAGAGATCTACAAATTCATAATGATCTTACAGAGCTCAAAGGGATGGAAGAAAGGACATACAGACAACTAATCGAAATCAGAAAAACAACACATAAAGAAAGAGAAGCTTATTAAAGATATTGAGACTATAACAAATAATGGGACAGAAAATCTGGAGCTGAATAATACAAAGAATTGAAAAATTTTAATTGTGAGTTTAAACAGCAGAATCGGTCAGATGAAAGAAAAAAATCAGTGAACTTGACGTCCGATTATTAGAAATTAGCCCGTGAAGAAAAAAAGTAAAAAGGGAATAAATAAGAGTGAATTAACTATGTGGGACTTATGGGGAATCATCCAACAAATCATATATGCATTGTGGAAGTCTCAAGCAGAGAATGGAGAGGGAGAAAAAAATGAGAATCTTATTTAAAGAAATAATGGCTGAAAAGTTCTCAATCTTGAGAAAGATATAGACATCTAGATTCAGGAAGCTTAAAAGTTCACACAAGCAAAATCAATGCAAAATAGATTGTCCTGAGACACACTATAATCAAATTGTCAAAAGCCAAAGTCAAAGAGATAATTTTGAAAGCAGCAAGAGAAAAGAGAATTGTCATATACAACTGTATGTCCATAGGCTGTATATAAAATTCTCAGCAGATAAAAGCTGAGAGTTTATTACTACTAGACCTGCTTTACAAGAAATACTAGAGGGAGTTCTTCAAGTTCCAAAGAAATGACACAGAGAAGAAAAAAAAAAGATTCACATAAAAGTATAAAATTCACTGGTAAATGTAAATATATAGTAAATTCAGAGTATTCTAATACTGGATAGTGATGTGTAAATCACTTTTAACTCTAGTATAAAAGTTGAAAGAAACAAGTATTTTGAAATTATGATAGCTACAATAATTTTAAATGCATATGTAACATAGAAGCATGTAAAGTGTAACATCAATAATTTACTGTGTGGTGATAAGGGAAGTAAAAGTGTAGCAATTTTGCATGCAACTGAAGTTAGGTTGTTATCAATTGAACATGGACTCTTACAACTCTAAAATATTTTATGTAAGGTTCATGGCAACCACGAAGAAATAATCCCTGGCAAATACTCAAAAGATATAGTGAAGAAATCAAAGCCTACCACTAAAATAAATCAACAAATTACATAGGAAGATAGCAAGGGAGGAAGAAAGGGACAAATGAGTAACAAAACTGAAAAGAATTCTCAAAAAGGCAATAGTGGGTTCTTACCTATCAATATTTCTTTAAATGTAAATTTAAATTATCCTGTCAAAGACACAGAGTGTCTGAATGCATAGAAAGCCGACATGTACAATATGCTACCTAGAAAAGACTTCCTTCATCTTTAATGACACACTTGAGCTGATAGTGAAAGACAGAGATATTCCAAGCAAATGGTAACAAAAATTGAGAAGGTGTGGCTATACTTAAATTTGACAAAATGGTCTTTCAGTCAAAATCCATCACAAGAGACTGAGAAAGTCATAAATAATGATAAAGGGCTTAATTCATCAAGAAGGTATAAGAATTGCAAATACATATGCATCCAACATGAGAACACCTAACTATATAAAGCAATTATTAAAAGAACTGAACCAAGAAATAAACAGCAATACAATAATAATAGTAGACTTTAAAACCCCACTTTCAACAGTGGATAATCATTCAGACATAAAATCAATAAGGAGACAGCAGGCTTAAATAACACTACTGACCAACTGAACCTAACAGACTTGTACAGAACATCCCAATCAACATAGCAGAATACAAATTCTCAAGCTCACATAGAATATTCTCCAAAATAGATCATGTGTTAGATAAAAAAAATTCCAACACATTTTAAAAGATTGGAATAATGTAATATCAAGTGTCCTTTCCAACTATAATGGTACATAAATGGAAATCAATAACAGAAAGAAAATTGAAAAATTCTGAATATGTGGAAATTAAATACTACATTCTGAACGACCAATGGATCAATCAAAAGAGAATCAAAAAGTATCTTGAGAAATATGAAAACAGAAATACAACATGCCAAAACTCATGCTTAAATTATTAAAAAGAGTTAGTTCTAAAAGAGAAATTTTTAGCAATAAATACATTAGAAAAAAATATTAAATAAAAAATATAAATTTATGTTTCAAGAAACTAGAAAAAGAGGAAAAAACTAAACTCTAAGTTAGCTTAAGAAAGAAAATAATGAGAATCAGATCAGAAATAAATGAAATAGAGACTAGAAAGACAATTTTAAAATATCAATAAAACTAAGAGTTGGTTTGAAAAGATAAACAAAACTGACAAGCCTTTAGCTAAACAAACAAACAAAAAAACACCAGAGGACATAAACAATAAAATTATAATGTAAATAACATTACAACTGATACCACAGAAATACAAAGAGACTACATATGAACAGATGAACAATTATAAGCGACTGAGATTAACAGTAAGAGACGACAGATGAACAATTATACACCAGCAAGTTGAATAATCTAGAGGAAATGAATAAATTCCTAAAAACATACAGCCTAACAAGACTAAACCATAAAGAAATAGAATATCTGAATAGATGAATAAGGAATAATGGGATTGAAATAGAATTAAAAAAACACCCAATAAAGACAAACCTAGGACCAGATTTCATGGATGAATTTTATCAAAATTTAAAGAGGAATTAATACCAATCCTTCTCAAAGTCTTCCAATAAATTGAAGAGCATGGAATATGTCCAAACTCATTTTACAAGGCCAGAATTAGCCTCGTACCAAAGCCATACAAGGACACTACAAAAAAATTAAATTGCAGACCAATAACCCTGACAAACACATATATAAAATATCCTTAACAAAATACTAGTAAACCAAATTAAACAGCACATTGGAAGGACTATTCACCATGATTAAATATGTGTCAACATATGCAAATCAATAACATAATAAGCCACCTTATCAGAATAATGAATGTCATATGATCTTCCCAATACATGCAAAAAAAAATCATTTGACAATATTCAACATCATTTGGTGATTAGGTATCAAGAGAATAGACCTCAACAAAATAAGAGCCATATATAAAAAGCATACAAATAACATCATAATCAATGGTGTAAAGATGAAAACTTTTTCCCCGAGATTAGGAACTAGACAAAGGTGCCCAATCTTACCACGTCTATTAAACCTAATACTGGAAGTCCTAGACAGAGCAATTAGACAAGAAAAAAATTGCATCCAAAGCAGAATGGAAGAAGTTAAATTGTTTCTGATTGCAGATGACATGATCTTACATATAGAAAACCCTAAAGACTGTACCAAAATCTAATACAACCAATAATCTAGTTTAGTAATGTTACAGGATACAAAATCAACATAAAAATATTAGCTGCTTTTCCATATACTAACAACAAACTACCTAAAAAGGAAATTGAGGAAACAGTTCCATTTATAATAAGAAACAATTCCATACTTAGTAATAAATTATATACTTAGTAATAAATTAGCTGAGGAACAGAAAGATCAGTTCATTAATTAATCTGTGCATTAACTAAAAGACGTTAATGAAAGAAACTGAAGAAGACCACAAATAAATGAAAAAATAATACCCAATAGTCTCAGATTTGAAAAATTAATATTGTTAAAATGTCTATACCCTTATAGTAATCTATAGATTCAATGCAATCCTTACCAATATTCCCATGTCATTTTTCACAGAGACAGAAAAAATCAATTGTAAAATTGTATGGAACTACAAAAGACCTCAAATAGCAAAAGCAATCTTGAGTAAAATGAACAAAACTGGAGGCATTACACCTCTCGTAATTTCATATTACAAAGCTATAGCAAAGCTACAGTAATCGAAACAGTATGGACCTAGCATAAAAAGAGACACATAGACAAATAAAACAGATTAGAGAGCCCAGAAATTAACCCAGGTTCATATGGCCAACTAATTTTTGGCAAGATCTCTAAGAACACACAAACAGTAACGTATACTCATCATTAAATGATGCTGAAAAACCTGGATGTGCACAGCCAGAAGAATGACATTAGACACCTACCTTACAAAAATTATATTGAAATTAATTAAAGACTTAAATATAAGACCTGAAACCATAAAATACTTAGAAAAAAAGGATAAACTTGACTTTGGTGGTGCCAATGATTTTTTTGGAAGTGACACCAAAGTATTGGCAATGAAAGCAAAAATAAACAAGTGAGGCATATTAAACTAAAAAGTTTCTTCGCACCACAGGAAATAATCATTAAAATGAAAAGGCAACCTTTGGAATGAGAAAAAAATGTAAATCATATATATGTTAACGGGTTCATATCCAGACCAAATAAATTCATAGAAATCAATAGCAAGTAACAACAACAAATAGGCAAAGGACATGAATAGACATTTTTTGAAAGAAGACATACAAATGTCTAACAGTTACATGAAAAGGTGCTCAACATCACTAATCATGGAAATGCAGATAAATACCATGAGATATCACCTCACACCTCTTAGAATGACTGTAATCAAAAGACAAGAGATAGGTATTGACTAGGGTGTAGAGAAACGGATCCCTTGTACATTCTTGGTGAATGCAAATTATAAATTGGTAGACCAATTATGAAAAAGAGTATGAAAATTCTTCAAAAAATTTAAATGGAAGTTCCTTATTATCCAGCAATTCCAGTTCTAGGCATTATACAAAGAAAAATCAATCTCTAAAGAGATATCTGCATTCCTATGTTCATTGCAGCATTATTCACAATAGCCAAGTTATACAAACAACTTGAGTGTCCATTGACAGATGAATGGTTAAACAAAATTTGGTATAATTTTGGTAATTATTTGATATGATTTTGGAAAATTTGATACACACACACACACACACCAGAATGTTATTCAAACATAAAAAGCAAGGAAAACCTAACATTTGTGAAAAAATGGATGAAGCTGGAGAACATTATGCTAAATTCAAGACACAGAAAGAAAGAAAAAGAAATACTATATGATTACATTTTTATGTGAAATCCAAAAAAGTTGAACTCATATAGCTAGAGAGTTAAATATTGATTTCCAGGTGGGGTCGAGGGATGTTGATTCAAAGAATACATTTAAACTATAACATAATTAAATTCTGGGCATTTAATATACAGCATGATGACTATAGTTAATAACACGATAGTGTTTATTTGAAATTTACTAAGAGTAGATCTTAAGAGATCTCACTACTATAAAAAGGGTATCTATGTGAGGTGATGGATGTATTAATTAGCCTGGTTTTGGTAATCATTCCATAATACATTATGTGTGTGTGTGTGTGTATATATAACAAATCATCATGTTGTACACTTTAAATATATACAATATTTATTTTTCTGTTATAACTTTATTAACCTGGAAAAATATAGTTACATATATTTTTAAATGCGAATGTTATTGAAATATTTTGCATTTTTCTCATGATTATTTCTGTAATATTCATAGACAATGTTCATTCATTTTCTGATTTCAAAAATTAATATATTTCTACTTTAAAACATAACAGTTTTCATTAATTTTACAATCATTTATAATATAAGTGTTTAATCAAACTGATAATTTACTTAGGAGAGTGGAATACACTTTGCATGTACATACTAACAGGAAAACTGATTAATGTAATGTGTTCTCCTCAAAGTTTCATTAGATTTTGGGAAGAGAGCCCAAATGCTATTTTTTATAACTTTGTGTCTTGAACAAAGAACTTAACAGAGCAATAAAGGAAGTTATAATCACAGAGCTAGTTAAGTCAGAAACAAGTGCAATAGAAATGCTTTGTGAGCTTTTTCTGTTCAATGAAAGCACAATTCTTTCAATAAATGAGATTAGAGAATGTTTTATTTTAAATGTACTTTTATCTTTTGAACAAATATTTATTCAACAGCTACTGTATGCTTCTTAGTCACTGTTTGAGACACTCCAAATACAAGAGAATGTCCCTGTTATAAAAGAGCTCACCAATTAGTGGGAAGAGAGATGTATTGAGAGGCAAAACAATGTAAAAAAAAGAGCTTTAAAAAGTCTATATGCACAGTATATTAATGGATCAGATGGATACCTGATTTATTTGGCTTAGGATATGGAAACTGCAAAAAATTAGAACCTAAATTGAATTAAATTATTCAATAATCATAATAGCAGTGCAGATTTAGGAAGGGTGGGATTGGGAATGTAGGGATAGGCAATGAACCATTACAGGCAGAAGCTGAATATGGGAAAGAGGTAAAAAGGACCTCTTCTTAAATTGCAAGCAGTTTAGAATGTTCAAGCTGTGTGTGTATATGGAAGGAAGAGCAACAGGGAAATTTTAAAACAAGGTTGCAGTGAGGAGCGGTGAGCAACTTACTCCTGTAAATTGTAATCTATTTGGGCAGTTCTTCACTCCCACTTGTCAGTTCCCTCTCTAGTCCCAAACACAAGGAGTAGATATGCTTCCTTCTCTTTAATTATAACTTCCATTTCATGATGCAGCCTTTGATTTAAAAACACTGGTAAAATAGAGTGAAGGAAACTAAGATGTTAGGAACAGTAAAAGTATTATAGTAAAGGGCAAAGGTTGACCAATAAATACACTGGTTGACAAACAGTGAGGTGCAGAGAAAAAGAATAAATCATTTTCTTATAGTTTCTAACATAAATTTTTATAAATCAAAACTGTCAATTTATTGAGTATCCTTCCAACACAGTACATTAAGGATCACCTCCATATTTTTGCACATGATTCTTTTCTCTTTTTATACTAGATGTTGCTTACATATATTCTCCAGGGATAGTAAATATATGCCACATGTGCTTTCATCCCTTTCTCCCATATCCTAGAATACTTTTCTATCACAACCTGGAACGATTTCCTTCTGAAAATGTATGTGACCGTGGAATCCTACTCCACATATTTGGCATTCTCTAGTAATGATTACAATTGGTATGACAGATAAAGTCTAATTGTTAACCTTTTAGAAGGCTGTTAACTTATCATTTTTAGAATGAAATCGAAAACATCCTGCTCTCCATCTTTCTGTTATGTAAGTAGTATCTCTGCTTGGAGTCCCCTTTCAAGCTGAATGATTCCAGTTGATATCCATTCTATGTTTTTTTCTCTATTATTGTTGCTCTAACAGAGTCATGTACTGTAACACATAATTATTTTTCAGTATATTTTATATAAAACAAATAATATGTTTCCTTTCAGCATATTATACAATTTGCCTCTTGGCTACCCCATGCCTAGCACAGTGTTGTGACAGATAAATAAGATAATAATTATCTTTTGACTACTATTTTGATTAACTATTTGATGTATATAAATATTATATACACCATTGATGCTTTTTAAAGAAAAACACACATAGAGAAAAAAAGTATAAGTTGTATTAAATTAAAACATATGACATGAATCTTTAAAATGCAGGAAAAGAAATCGTCTAAAGTCATTGTCCTAAAGCTACAGAAACATTAAAAAAAAGTTTATGTTAACCAGTTATATAACATTTAAATCGACAACAACAAAACAAACTACTTTTTTGAGTACAGATAAACTCTCATTAGAAAATAAAACTCTTTGTGTATTAACAGCTATACCTTTCTCTTGAGAAAGGTTAGTTGGCATGATAAACTTGAATTTTGCTTCTCATTGAATAATAAAGATAATAAAAAGGATTTGTTTGGAAGACTGAAAGAGTTGCAATTCACTATTGTTATGAAAATTCTAAATGGAAATATAATTTTTAGAATCAGAATTGGAGGTTTATCAAATACAAGAACAACATTCAGTAAATAACATTTACCAAGTCCTATACTTATCAATATATCCCTACAAGCTCTTTTCCTCGTAGAGCTGCCTTATCTACCAAACTGTTTTCTCATTGAACTATAGGCTTTGTGTACAATGCCTTGGTTAGGTTAATTCCTTCATGTTTAATTTTATTTGCGGCTATTGTATAGAGGATTATCTTTTTATTTCTTTTTCACATTGTTCTCTGTTGGCATATAGAAATGTTATTGATTTTTGTATGTTGATTTTATATCCTACAACTTTGCTAAATTTGTCAATCAGTTCTAAATAATTTTCCTGTGGAGTCCTTAGGTTTTTCCAAATGTAGGATCATATCATCAGCCAACAAGGATATTTTAACTTCTTATTTTCCAATTTGGATGCCCTTTATATCTTCTCTTGTGTAATTGCTCTAGCTAGGAATTCCAGTACTACGTTGAATAACAGTGGTGACAGTGGCCATATTTGTCATGTTCCAGATCTTAGAGGAAAGGCTTTTAGTTTATCCCCATTCAGTATGATACTACCTGTGGGCCTGTCATATAAGGCTTTTATTATGTTGAGCTATGTTCTCTCTATTTCTAGTTCTTTTTTTTGATGATTTTTATCATTAAGAGATGTTGAATTTTATGAAATGCCTTTTCAGCATCAATTGAAATGATTGTATGGTTTTTATCCTTCATTCCATTGACATGATGTATCATGTTGATTGATTTGTGTATGTTGAATCATTCTTGCATCCCAGGGATAAATCGCATTTGGTCATAATAAATGATCTATAATAAATGATCTTTCTCATGTACTGGTGAATTCAGTTTGCTAGTATTTTATTGAAAATGTTTGCATTAATATTCATCAGAGATATTGGCCTGTAGCATTATTTTATTGATGGGTCTTTGTTAGGTTTGACATCAGGGTAATACTGGCCTCATAGAACGAGTTTAGAAACATTTTCTCCTCTAGTTGTGGAAATAGTTTGAGTACAACTGGTATGGTATTATTTATTCTTTAAATATTTGATAGAAATCAGGTGTGAAGCCATTAAGTCCTGGGGTTTTCTTCACTGCCAGACTTTTTATTACAGTTTCAGTCTTGTATGTTATTGGTCTGTTCAATTAAGTTCAATCTTGATAGGTTGTATAGAACCCACAAGATTTTCAAGTTTTTCTAGATTTTCCAATTTATTGGCATATAATTGCTCATAGTAGCCACTAATGATCCCTTGAATATTTGCAGTACCAGTTGTAATTTTCCTTTTTTAATTTTTTTTATTATACTTTAAGTTCTAGGGTACATGTGCACCAAGTGCAGGTTTGTTACATATGAATACATGTGCCATGTTGGTGTGCTGCACCCATTAACTCGTCATTTACATTAGGTATATCTCCTAATGCTATCCCTCCCGCCTCCCCCCTCCCCATGACAGGCCCCACTGTGTGATGTTCCCCTTCCTGTGTCCACGTGTTCTCATTGTTCAATTCCCACCTATGAGTGAGAACATGCGGTGTTTGCTTTTTTGTCCTTGCGATAGTTCCCTGAGAATGATGGTTTCCAGCTTCATCCATGTCCCTACAAAGGACATGAACTCATCCTTTTTTATGGCTGCATAGTATTCCATGGTGTATATGTGCCACATTTTCTTAATCCAGTCTATCATTGATGGACATTGGGGTTGGTTCCAAGTCTTTGCTATTGTGAATAGTGCCACAATAAACATATGTGTACATGTGTCTTTATAGCAGCATGATTTATAATTCTTTGGGTATATACCCAGTAGTGGGATGTCTGGGTCAAATGGTATTTCTAGTTTTAGATCCTTGAGGAATCACCACACTGTCTTCCACAATGGTTGAACTAGTTTACAGTCCCTCCAACAGTGTAAAAGTGTTCCTATTTCTCCACATCCTCTCCAGCACCTGTTGTTTCCTGACTTTTTAATGATCACCATTCTAACTGGTGTGAGATGGTATCTCATTGTGGTTTTGATTTGCATTTCTCTGATGGCCAGTGATGGTGAGCATTTTTCCACGTGTCTGTTGGCTGCGTAAATGTCTTCTTTTGAGAAGTGTCTGTTCATATCCTTTGCCCACTTTTTGATGGGGTTGTTTGTTTTTTTCTTGTAAATTTGTTTGAGTTCTTTGTAGATTCTGGATATTAGCCCTTTGTCAGATGAGCAGATTGCAAAAATTTTCTCCCATTCTGTAGGCTGTCTGTTCACTCTGATGGTAGTTTCTTTTGCTGTGCAGAAGCTCTTTAGTTTAATTAGAACCCATTTGTCAATTTTGGCTTTTGTTGCCATTGCTTTTGGTGTTTTAGACATGAAGTCCTTGCCCATGCCTATGTCCTGAATGGTAATGCCTAGGTTTTCTTCTAGGGTTTTTATGGTTTTAGGTCTAACATTTAAGTCTTTAATCCATCTTGAATTAATTTTTGTATAAAGTGTAAGGAAGGGATCCAGTTTCAGCTTTCTACATATAGCTAGCCAGTTCTCCCAGCACCATTTATTAGAGAATCCTTTCCCCATTGCTTGTTTTTGTCAGGTTTGTTAAAGATCAGATGGTTGTAGATGTGTGGTATTATTTCTGAGGGCTCTGTTCTGTTCCATTGGTCTATATCTCTATTTTGGTACCAGTACCATGCTGTTTTGGTTACTGTAGCCTTGTAGTATAGTTTGAAGTCAGGTAGTGTGATGCCTCCAGCTTTGTTCTTTTGGCTTAGGATTGTCTTGGCGATGCGGGCTCTTTTTTGGTTCCATATGAACTTTAAAGTAGTTTTTTTCCAATTCTGTGAAGAAAGTCATTGGTAGCTTGATGGGGATGGCATTGAATCTATAAATTGCCTTGGGCAGTACGGCCATTTTCACGATATTGATTCTTCCCATCCATGAGCATGGAATGTTCTTCCATTTGTTTGTGTCCTCTTTTATTTCCTTGAGCAGTGGTTTGCAGTTTGCCTTGAAGAGGTCCTTCACGTCCCTTGTAAGTTGGATTCCTAGGTATTTTATTCTCTTTGAATCAATTGTGAATGGCAGTTCACTCATGATTTGGCTGTCTGTTTGTCTGTTATTGGTGTATAAGAATGCTTGTGATTTTTGCACATTGATTTTGTATCCTGAGACTTTGCTGAAGTTGCTTATCAGCTTAAGGAGATTTTGGGCTGAGACAATGGGGTTTTCTAAATATACAATCATGTTATCTGCAAACAGGGACAATTTGACTTCCTCTTTTCCTAACTGAATACCCTTCATTTCCTTCTCCTGCCTGATTTCCCTGGCCAGAACTTCCAACACTATGTTGAATAGGAGTGGTGAGAGTGGGCATCCCTGCCTTGTGCCAGTTTTCAAAGGGAATGCTTCCAGTTTTTGCCCATTCAGTATGATATTGGCTGTGGGTTTGTCATAAATAGCTTTTATTATTTTGAGATACGTCCCATCAATACCGAATTTATTGAGAGTTTTTAGCATGAAGTGCTGTTGAATTTTGTCAAAGGCCTTTTGTGCATCTATTGAGATAATCATGTGGTTTTTGTCTTTGGTTCTGTTTATATGCTGGATTACATTTATTGATTTGTGTATGTTGAACCAGCCTTGCATTGCAGGGTCTCCTTTTTAATTTCTGATTTTATTTACTGAGACCTTCTCTCTTTTTCTCTTAGTATGGCTAAAGGTATGTCAATTTTGTTTATCTTTTGTAAAAAACAACTTTTTGTTATATCTATTTTTGTATTTTTCCTTTCATTTCAATTTCATTAATTTCTTTTCAGATCCTTATTATTTATTTTCTTCTACTAGTTTTGAGTTTGGTTTGCTCTTGGTATTCTAGTTCTTTAATATACAATGTTAGATTGTTTATTTGAAGCCTGTTCCCTTTTTTAATGCAGCACTTATGGCTATAAACTTGCGTCTGAGTACCGCTTTTGCTGTATCCCATAGGTCTTGGTATGTTGTTTTTCTATTACCATTTGTTTCAAAAAATGTATCAATTGCCTTCTTAATTTCTTCAATGAACCACTGATGATTTAGGAGCATATTTTTAAATTTCTATATACATGCATAGCTTCCAAGATTTATTAATTTGTTTTTATTAATTAATTTCTTGTTATTAATTTCTAGTTTTATTTCATTAATTTCTTGTTATTATTTTCTAGTTTTATTTCATTGTTACCAGATAAGATTCTTGATATTATTTTAATTTTTTGAATGTTTTAGGAATTGTTTTGTGACCTAACATATGGTCTGTCCTTGAGAATGATTCATGTTCTGAGAAACAGAATGTGTATTCTATTCTGCAACTGTTGGATGTAATGTTCCATAAATATCTATTATAATAGATCCATTTGATTTATAATATAGATTGAGTCCAGTGTTTCTTTATTGGTTTTTCTGTCGTAAATCTGTCCAATACTGAAAGTAGGCTTTTGAAGTCTACAGCTATTATTGTATTGGGGTCTATCTCTCTTTAGCACTAATAATATTTGCTTTATATATCCGGGTGCTACAGTGTTGGTTGCATATATATTTAAAATTGTTAGGTCCTCTTGCTTAATTTACCCCTTTATCAATATATAATGACCTTCTTTGTCTCTTTTTATAGTTTTTGTCTTATAATCTATTTTGTCTGATATAAGTATAGCTACTCTTGCTCTTTGTTGGTTTCCATTGGCATGGCATATTTTTCTGTCCCTTTTTTAGTCTATGTGTGCCTTTATAGGTGAAATGCATTTCTTGTAAGCAACAGATGAATGGATCTTTTTTTTTTTACCCATACAACCAGCCTATAACTTTTGATTGCAGAGTTTGGTTCATTTACCTTTAATGTTATTATTGATATCTAAGGACTTATTCCTGCCATTTTGTCACTTCTTTTCTGGTTGTTTTGTGGCCTTCTTTTCTTTGTTTCTTTCCTTTCTGCTTTCCTCTAGTGAAGGTAATTTTTCTCTGTTGATATTTAGTTTTCCATTTTTTTGTGTATTTATTGTATGGATTTTTGATTTGAGGTTACCATAAAGTTTGCAAATACTATCTTATAACTGATATTTTAAACAAATAACAACATTATTTGCATTAACAAATACATAAACAAGCAAAAAGAAAACTAATAAAAAAATCTATGCCTTAACTTAGTTCCCCTGCTTTTTAACTTTTATTGTTTCTATTTATATCTTACTGTGTTGACTATGATTTAAAAAGTTGTATTTTTTAAAATTTTTTCATCATTTAGTCTTTTTACTTAGGATAAGAGTAGTTTACACACTACAGTACAGTGTTATAATATTCTGTGTTTTTCTGTGTGCTTACTATTACTAGTGAGTTTTGTACCCTCAGGTAATGATTTATTGATTAATAATACAATTTTCTTTCTAATTCAAGTACTCTTTTTAGCATGTCTTGTAGAAAGGTCTTGGTATTAATGAAATTTCTCAGCTTTTGTTTGTCTCAGAATGTCGTTATTTCTTCTTCATGTTTGAAGAATATTTTCACTGTATATACTAGTCTATAGTAAAAGTTTTTTTCACCCTCCAGCTCTTTATATATGTTATTACACTCTCTCCCATCCTATAAAGTTTCCAATAAAAAGTCTGCTCCCAGACATATTGAAGCTCCACTACATGTTATTGGTTTCATTTATCTTGCTGCCTTTAGGATCCTTTCTTTATCCTTGAACTTCAAAAGTTTGATTATTAAATTCCTTGAGTTAGTCTTCTTATGGTTAAATCTGCTTGATATCCTATAACCTTCTTTTCCTTGGACACTGATCTCTCTCTCTGGATTTGGGATGTTCATGTTATTATCTCTTTGAATACGCTTTCTACTCATATCCATCTCTACCTCATCTCGAAGACCAATAACACTTTTCATTTTTTGGGGGTTTCTTTAGAGTCTCGCTCTGTTACCCAGACTAGAGTGCAGTGGTGTGATCTCGACTCAATGCAACTTCCACCTCCTGGATTCAAGTGATTCTCCTGCCTCAGGCTCCTGAGAATCTGGGATTACAGGCGCCCGCACCACACTTGGCTAATTTTTGTATTTTTAGTAGAGATGGGGTTTCACCCTCTTGGCCAGACTGGTCTCGAACTCCTGATCTCAAGTGATCTGCTTGTCTCAGCCTCCCAAAGTGTTGGTATTACAAGTGTGAGCCATCGCACCCTGCCCAGTAAACCTTAGATTTGCCCTTCTGAGGCTATTTTCTAGATCCTGTAGGCATGCTTCATTTTTTAATTATTATTTTTCTTGTCTTTTCTGACTGTGTATTTTCAAATAACCTGTCTTCAAACTCACTATTTCTTCTGCTTGTCAATTCTGCTATTAAACAACTCTGATGCATATTTCAGTATGCCAGTTGCATTTTTCAGCTCCAGAATTTCCGCTTGTTTTACTTTTTTCTTTTTTTTTTAGACAGTTTCACTCTGTCACCTGAACTGGAGTGCAGTGGTGTGATCTCAACTCACTGCAACCTCTAACTCTCCAGCTCAAGCAATCCTCCTGCCTCAGCTTCCCAGTAGCTGGGAGTACAAGTGCACACAACTGCACTCAGCTAATTTTTTTTGTGTGTGTATTTTTGTAGAGACAGGGTTTTGCCATGTTGTCCTGGCTGGTCTCAAACCCCTGGGCACAGTAGTCCACCCGCCTCAATCTCCCAAAGTGCTGGGATTACAAAAGCATGAGCCACTGTGCCTGGCCAATTCTTTTTCATTATTTCAGTCTCTTTATTAAATTTATCTGATAGAATTCTAAATTTCTTTCCTGTGTTATCTTGAATTTCTTTGAGTTTTCTCAACGCAGCTATTTTGAATTATCTGAAAGAGGACATATTTCTTTTTCTCCTGGATTGGTCCCTGGTGCTTTATTTAGTTCATTTGGTAAGATCATTTTTTTGGATGGTGTTGATGCTAGTAGATGTTCCTCAGCGTGTGGACATTGAAAGGTTATATATTTATTGTAGTCTTCACTGCCTAGGCATATTCATAGCTGTCTTTCTTGAGAAAGCTTTCTAGATACTTAAAAGGACTTGAGTGTTGTGATTTAAGCTCTTCCTACTTTAGTAAGCACCCCAAGCCCAGTAACACTGTGGTTTTTGCAGACTTGTAGAGATATGCTGCTCTACCCCTCATGTCCATGCTGGTACCTGAGGTGCAAGACAAAGTCCCCTTTTCTTTTCCGATGCTTTTCTCAAGCAGAGGACTTTTGCCCCATAGCCTCCACAGCTGGTTATGTGCTGAATCTCATCTAAAGCCAATAAATCTCACAGGCTCACCCAAGGTTCTCAATGTAGTACCTGGATATCGCTGCTGGTTATTCGGGGCACAGGGGCTTTTCAGTTAGCAGGTGATGAATGCTGCTAGGACTGGGTCCTTTCCTTCAAGGCATCAGGTTCCCTTCTGGTCCAAGGTGTGCCTAGAAATGTTGTGTGGGAGTCAGGACCTCATGACTCTGACTACTGCCCTAATCTGCTATGGCTGAGCTGGTATCCTAGATGCAAGGCAAAGTCCTCTTCACTCTTCCTTCTCCTCCCCTTAAGGGGAAGGAACAATCTCTTTTGAAGCCCTGAGTTATGCATCCTGGGGTTAGGAAAAGGGTGATGCCACACTCCCTTGGCTGCCTGAGCTAGTATCTCAGTAAGTTGTGTGCCCTACTCATACTCTACTGTCTCTAGGCCTAATTCAGCCCTAGGACTCTCCTAAGAGTTGCAGTCCTTATTGTCTAAACTGCCTTTCAAGTTTACTTGGAGACACACAGTGTTGTAGCCCTCTGTGGTGAGGTTTGCAGACACTCAGGTTCTGACTGCTGAGGTCAGCGATTCCTGGCTAGAGCTTGTTTAAATGCTCCCTCCATGTGCAGGCACTTAGCTGAGTTTGGTCTGATCTTCCTTTCTTTCTAACAGGAAAGCACTGTGTTGGTTGCCTCACAATTGCTGTGTTCTCTCTCTCCCAGCACCCGAAGATGCTCCCTGTACCATGCCTCTGCTGTGGGGTGGGGAAGGGTGTGGCATTGATGATTCAAGACTGTTTTTTTCAATCTTAATTTCCTCTTGCAGTGCTGTGAAGTTAAAACCAGGTATTATGAGTGCTCACCTGCTTTTTAGGTCTTATGAAATTTTTTTATGTGTGTGTGTAGATAGTTGTTAGTTTGGTGTCCTTGCAGGGAATGGGAACCATTGGTGGAGCTTTCTATTCTGCCTTGTTCTGACCTCTCTCTGGCTCACGTGAGATTAATCATTTACCATTTATTGCTTTGCACTCTATATACCAGCAATAGAGTAATAAGTTTTACCTCTCTATCTCTGGATAATATTTATCTCCACCTAGGTGGACATTATCAGATTCTTTGTCTAGCAAATGTAGTCTTTAAAATCTCAACTCCTTCATTGCCTCCATACTGGACTAGTACTTAATGAGATTCTCCTCTCTTCTTCTATGTAGTGAAGGGATAGTGAATCTCTTTCCATTTTCTGTTTGTCATCCATGTGCACTTTTATGTTCTGACTCTAACATATTTTATATAAGTGATTGATGCTCTGTTTTTCCTATTTTGAACATAAACATTTGATGTCAAGAATGAATATTTACTTATTTATGTCGGCAGCATCAAGGGGAGTAACCTACATGTAGCGAATGCTCGTTAAATGTTTCTGGAATTAATTAATGAATGTGACCACTAAAATGTACGTGACTACTTGCAAGTTTGCTGAGTAGCGTGTGTTGATACTGATACTGACTTTTATCTTATTAGTGGGTGAATTGTTACTAAGTAAAAGAATCTATATTTATGCTTGTTTCACATATATTTTCTTCTCCCCTTCCCCCTCTCTACAAGTCACCAAAGCAAGCTTATATGTGTGTGTGTGTGTATGTGTATATATATATTCATATATGTATATATATGAAAATAAAGGTTTTTGTGAACCTCCATGTGGGAAACACAATGATTTTTTAGAATGATTATTCTTACTTTTTATATGTAGAGATATATTTCCTTTATATGGAAAGATATTCCTAAAGTGAATTATTATTACTTATATGATACCAAATAATTTACTATAAAAGAATAATATTTTCAGGCTCAATCACTGATATGAACTCTTTTATTTTTCTTTTATAATTCTTTCTTGCATTGTGTTTGTATTTCTTTTGCTTAGCCTAAGCTTGTGATTTTTAAAATCTTTATTAAGTGATAATATACTTCCAAAATATGCCTGCAATTCATTATGAAAAATCTTCTAATGTCCCTTTAGGGAAAGGAAACTAAAGATGTGTACAGCTACTGCTTGGGATGATATGCAGTAGGATGATACAAGGTTTGCAATCTGAAGCGTGACCATGAAGTATTATTCCATTTATTGGACATGTAAGGTGCTTAGTGGTTTTGATCATAAAACAGAAAATAGAGAATTGCATCTTTGACATGAAAAGTATTTCACCTCCTTTTCCTATATGTACAATGGCAGGTGTTTATTATTTGGTAAGAGTCACTTTCTAATATTATTTTTAGCAGAAGAAGTACTACTTTGACCTCTAAAATGTCATGCTTTAAGGGTAAAATGCCATTCACAGTATGTTTTAATAAAAGCTATTCACCTTAGAAAAGGCAAGCATCTGTCAAATGCCTGACCGTGTGCCCCTGATCAGAGCTTTCAGTAATGTTTTAAACTACAACTAAAGAAGCAGGATAGGAATGCTAGTTTCCTTGATACTACTTTTACCTTAAATAAAACAAGTAGAAAGCAAGCAAGCTTTAGATTGATTCTTTGACTGAATGTACTGTAACTACCTAACACCTTCCAATTTTACATAAAGCTGCCTGCTATAGCTCAATTTCTCAGTGGCCTAAAAACAAGTAGAGATATTTAGCAATTTTTATTGAACACATCATGAAGAGAGAGCATGCTTTTTACCTTTTATAGAAAGCTTAAAATAATTCTAATGCCTAATAGGTTTTTGAGTGTTTAGTTAGTGGCATGAAATATGTCAAACACTTTGGGGACAATAGAAAATTTAATGGACACCTCATGCAAGTTTACTCACCTCTTATCTTTGGGGACTAGGAAGTAACGAGGAATGCCTACTGCATCATCCCAACTGCACACCATTCTTGGGAGGATGTAAAGAGAGACTTGAAAACATGATATTTTTTTCTCTGAGTATAAACTTTTATTTTTAAAGTTATATCTACTAACCTAGAGGTATACATACAGCTCCAGATACTCATGAATGAGTATCCATGCTCATTTCTCTCAGTATTTTCCTCAGATTTTTATTTCAGACTGAAAGCAAACATTACAAGCCCATTACACTTAATTTAGTCATTGAAGCATATGTGCCTAATTTATGGCAAAACGAAGAGTAGGTATGAGAGTCAAAGATACAACTTAAGGGTGAGAGGGACACATGCTTCAAGACATCGAGGTCAGCTGCTGGACTTGGTGTGTCAAACTTTTTTCTTTTCTCCTAATGTTAAAAAGAAAGAGCATTTCCAAAGATGCATATCACAGTGAAATGAAAATGCTAAAGGCACTATACATTGTTGGGCAGAGGCCAGATCTCCAAAGGTTAGTTAGCTAGGTTAATGATGCACTGGTGAATTATTTAAGAATTCTGTCCAACCTATTTGGTAAACGAAGTTCAGAAGAATTATTTTCTATTTTATTTAGTTCTTTTTTATTTTATTTTTTTATTTTTATTGGAGACAGAGTCTCGCTCTGTCACCCAGACTGGAGTACAGTGGCACGATCTCGGCTCACTGCAAGCTCTGCCTCCCACATTCACGCCATTCTCCGGCCTCAGCCTCCACAGTAGCTGGGACTACAGTGCCCGCCACCGTGCCCAGCTAATTTTTTTTTTGTTTTTTTGTATTTTTAGTAGAGACGGGGTTTCACCATGGTCTCGATCTCCTGACATTGTGATCCACCCGCCTTGGCCTCCCAAAGGGCTGGGATTACAGGAGTGAGCCACTGCGCCTGGCCTATTTAGTTCTTTTTAAAAATAACTTGAACTTTCATTGAACAAAATTATCACATCACTTACAATAGTAAAATAATAGTTAGAGATGCTATTATTAATTATTTTATTAATTTGGGGACATAGAATTGTCTGATGAGCACAATGGGATCTAAACCATTATTTAAACATAGAATATTAAAGACAGAAGCATTTAGGTAATTTCCAACACCTGGGCAAGATTAATCATTAGCTTACAAAGAGAATTTTTTTCCTCTGACAGATGTAGAGAGGTAAAGAAAAATCATATGGTATTAATAAATTTCAAGAGTAGATACTTTAAAGGATTTTTTAGCTATTTCCTAAGGTATAATACAGGTGAAAAATATATCTTAAATATGAAATACAGCAGAAAGATTAAGTGCTAGTTTTCATGTTCCTCTTTTTCCCAAAAGAGAAACATATTTCTACATTTTAGCATTTAGGCGGAAAATTAATCTTTGCTGCACTTTTCATTATGAGGAAATTTTAAATTTTAAATCCTTAATTATGTTGCCAACTACATCTATGAAAATATATAACTGCAAGAAAAGCGACATATTAAATATAAATTGTACTTTATTATCTCTTTCACTTCATAGAAAATTAAGTGTTACAAGAATGAGACTTTGTTGGCAAGATAGGTAACCATCTAGAAAGGAATAATTTATGGTAAATATTGCATTTTCTGTCTGCAAATAACTTTTAAAAGGTTGCTCTTTGAGGCATTTCAAAAAGAGGACACAAACAAATGGAAGAACTTTCCATGCTCATGGATAGGAATAATCGATATCGTGAAAATGGTCATACTGCCCAAGGTAATTTATAGCTTCAATGCCATCCCCATCAAGCTACCAATGACTTTCTTCACAGAATTGGAAAAAACTACTTTAAATTTCATATGGAACCAAAAAAGAGCCCGCATTGCCAAGACAATCCTAAGCAAAAGAACAAAGCTGGGGGCATCACGCTACCTGACTTCAACCTATACTACAAGGCTACAGTAATCAAAACAGCATGGTACTGGTACCAAAACAGAGATTTAGACCAATGGAACAGAACAGAGCCCTCAAAAATAATACCACACATCTACAACCATCTGATCTTTGACAAACCTGACAAAAACAAGCAATGGGGAAAGGATTCCCTATTTAATAAATGGTACTGGGAAAACTGGCTAGCCATATGTAGAAAGCTGAAACTGGATCCCTTCCTTACACCTTATACAAAAATTAATTCAAGATGGATTAAAGACTTAAATGTTAGACCTAAAACCATAAAAACCCTAGAAGAAAACCTAGGCAATACCATTCAGGACACAGGCATGGACAAGGACTTCACGTCCAAAACACCAAAAGCAATGGCAACAAAAACCAAAATTGGCAAATGGGATCTAATTAAACTAAAGAGCTTCTGCACAGCAAAAGAAACTACCATCAGAGTGAACAGGCAACCTACAAAATGGGTGAAAATTTTTTCAATCTACACATCTGACAAAGGGCTGACATCCAGAATCTACAAAGAACTCAAACAAATTTACAAGAAAAAAACAAACAACCCCATCAAAAAGTGGGCAAAGGATATGAACAGACACTTCTCAAAAGAAGACATTTATGCAGCCAACAGACACGTGGAAAAATGCTTATCATCACTGGCCATCCAAGAAATGCAAATCAAAACCACAATGAGATACCATCTCACACCAGTTAGAATGGTGATCATTAAAAAGTCAGGAAACAACAGGTGCTGGAGAGGATGTGGAGAAACACTTTTACACTGTTGGTGGGACTGTAAACTAGTTCAACCATTGTGGAAGACAGTGTGGCGATTCCTCAAGGATCTAGAACTAGAAATACCATTTGACCCAGACATCCCACTACTGGGTATATACCCAAAGAATTATAAATCATGCTGCTATAAAGACACATGTACACATATGTTTATTGTGGCACTATTCACAATAGCAAAGACTTGGAACCAACCCAAATGTCCATCAATGATAGACTGGATTAAGAAAATGTGGCACATATACACCATGGAATACTATGCAGCCATAAAAAAGGATGAGTTCATGTCCTTTGTAGGGACATGGATGAAGTTGGAAACCATCATTCTCAGCAAACTATCGCAAGGACAAAAAAGCAAACACCGCATGTTCTCACTCATAGGTGGGAACTGAACAATGAGAATACTTGGACACAGGAAGGGGAACATCACACAGTGGGGCCTGTTGTGGGGTGGGGGTAGGGGGAATAGAAAGCATTAGGAGATATACCTAATGTAAATGACGAGTTAATGGGTGCAGCACACCAACATGTCACATGCATACATATGTAACAAACCTGCACTTTGTGCACATGTACCCTAGAACTTAAAGTAAAATAAAAAAAATTTGCCTTCACAAGTAACTTAGAAGAACTTGGTCTTGACATAGGATATCCTTGTTTGGCCCAAAGAAATTTGTATTTATTATTAACCATGTATTTGGCAGGACTTCCTGATTACTATTTGTATCATTTGTGAATGCTTTAAAAATCTCTGTGGGGCTTTGAGAGCTATATATGCCTACAGCATGAAACACTTTCCCTCACTGTTCTGTCACTCATTATACACCTCTCATATTCAGTCCAGAGTTCCAAAACTCTCCAGGAAAAGTTCTGAGTTGACCTAAACATTTAGCATAGCAGAGTTGCTGTTCACTCTCACCTACAGGGATTTGTAGATAACAGAATCATTCTGCATTTTTGGCAGAATAACCTTACTTTTTGTTTCCTCTTAATGATCAGTCTCCATTTTCTCAATTTTTTAATTTGTGCTTCCTTCCTCCACTGAAATAGGGAAATGTTTATTATGGTTAATCTATAGAGTTTCTAAATGTTATTTTATGTCTTTCATGTAAGAATAAGTTTGGCTTTGTTTAAAGTCAAACTGCTAAATATATTATAAAAATGATTGAGATGTGTCTTTGAATTAGTATTGGGATTGTTTGCCATGTGACTTTTCTAAAATGAAAAATATTTTTCAACTGATGTATGTCTTCATTCTGTTTTGCAGTCATTTCTAATTAATTTATAGAACAAATATTTATTTAACAAATAGCATGCTTGATGTTGTAGGACAACTACAGATAAAATGCACATGAATCTTGTACAACTGTGAAGAATTTAGGGCAATTGTTATAATATCGACAAAGAATATCAGCATGGATACAGTTTTAATTTAATGGCAGATGTGCTATGCCCCAGTTATATACAAAGGCTCTGACAACACAGAGAAAGGAGCAAATAGAGTTAACTGAGGCAGAGGAAAACAGTATATGAGAAACGATGTTAAAATGAAACCTGGGAGGAGAAGATTCTCAGGCAGCAGGAGTGGATAAAAATGTCCCCAAATAAGAAATTAGCAAGTGCAAAGACTTGGTGGGGTTTAAGACAGATAGTGAGAATTTACCACTTCTGTTCAGATATGTAAATGTGTGTGGAACTAACTTCTAATAACGCCTTTAAAAATGACTTCTTGAGTTTAGCCAGTGAGAGTTTTATCCTGAACTTCAGAAGAGTGTAACTGTTTATACAATAAATCCAACTACATTGATGACATCCATAAATCTCAGTTCAAGTTAGAACCTGGTCAATATCTGTAACTCAAGGCATCTTCCAAAATCTTCCAAGTCACAGCATATTATGAGTGCTAATCCTAAAGTGGATTCTTAAAAATTCATTGAGCTATGTAACTTAATAATTTATTAAGAAACAGCTTGGCCACGCGCGGTGGCTCACGCCTGTAATCCCAGCACTTTGGGAGGCCGAGGCGGGCAGGTCACGAGGTCAGGAGATCGAGACCATCCTGGCTAACACGGTGAAATGCCGTCTCTACTAAAAATACAAAAATCTTAAAAAAATTAGCCGGGCGTGGTGGCGGGCACCTGTAGTCCCAGCTACTACGGAGGCTGAGGCAGGAGAATGGCATGAACCCGGGAGGCGGAGCTTGCAGTGAGCCGAGATCGTGCCACTGCACTCCAGCCTGGGCGACAGAGCGAGACTCCGTCTCAAAAAAAAACAAACAACAAACAAACAACAACAAAAAACAGCTTGATTCCTTCATTAATGTAGTTACTGTTTGCCAACGTTTTTCCCCTTCCAACTATAAGAAGATTTTATTTTTTTCTACATCATTGGTGGTTTGGTGTGGCTACATTGCTAATTCTGGCTTATGAGTTGTGAGCAAAAGTGATGTATGTAAATTTTACATACAAGTGAGCATTTGGATGCTAGTGTTAAATTATCCATGTTGCTCCCTCAACATGCCATCGCCAGCCTACTAATGGTAACCTGCAATGTTCCCAAGAGTAACTTTTCAGTTGCTTGGTCCTCAAGTGAAGCAAACAAGAAGAGCATGTGTTCAATATTGCCCACTTTTATTGCATTGCAGGAGTTCTTATATGCTTTACAAATATATTATCTCAGCCTATGACTTGCTTTTTCATTGTTCTAAAGTATCTTTATAAAATCAAAACCATATAAAATGTCACTATTTCTTTATGTTTAGCGCTTTCTACTTCCTAAGAAATTTTTCTCTCTGAAGATTTTCTCCCATCTTTTCTTATTTTTTATAGATTGAATTTTAATGTTTAAGTCTATTATTAATTTTAATGTTTAAGTCTATTATTCATATTTTTGGTGTGTCTAAAGCAAAGCCTATGGTTTAGTTTGATATTTCCATATGAATATCCAGTTTTTTCAGCACAATTTTTTGAAAACTCTATGCTTTCTACATTGAATTGCCTTGGTACTTCACTAAAAAATTCAGTCAACCATATACAGATGGGTCTATTTCTGGACTCTAATATTTCCTATTGATCTATATTTCTATTCTAAAAGATTTCAAGTTGTGTACACATTTTTAAATTTGTTCCTATGTACTTGAAATTTTGGAAAGTATGATAATGATCTTATTCTTTTAATTTATAAATGTTTTAAGTGTATGGAGATATAATTGGCTTAAATGTATTGAAGTCATACCCTCAATTTTTACAAATGCATTTATTATTTCTAGAAGCATTCTTGTGTATTTTCTTGGATTTTCTAAGTACTCAATCATATCCTCTAGAAATAAAGTTACTGTATTTCTTCCTTTACAAAATATATGCTTTTTCTCTTCTTTCTTTATTACACTAACTAGTACTAGTACCTCTAACAAAATATTAAATACAAGTAGCGAGAGTTGACATTCTTGTTTATTCCTGTTATTTTTTTCTGGGATGATGGTAGGTTTCACTCTTGCTCACTTAAGTATGATTTATACCATGTGAAAGTATTTATACTTGTTTGTAGATATTATTGATCCAATTGAGAAAGTTGCCTTCTGTTACTAGTTTGCTGAGATTCTTTACCTTAAATTGTCACATTTGGTCAGATATTTTTCTGCTTTTATAAAGATGGTTAGGTGATTTTTTCATCAATTTTCTCTTAAAAGATTTAATTACATTTATTACTCTTCTAATGTTGAACTAATTTTGCATTTCTGATATAAAACCTTCTTGATGATAATAGCATGCTTCTGGCCTTGCCAACCCAGAAGCCAAAAAAGAGAAATCTTTAAATTAAAGAAACTTTCAACATAAACATCTGGGCCAATTGAAAAATATATTTTAACATTCATTTCTACCATTTTTCATTTTTTGTGCTAATCCAAGATTGCATCTTTTATTTTCCTTCAGCCCACAGAAATTCTTCAACTTTTAAAATAGTTTAGACCTGTTAGTGACATAATTTTTAACCTGAAAGTATGTTCATTTCACCTTCAATTTTAAAGGATATTTTCTCTTGGCACAGAATTGTGTGTTGAAAGTTTCTAAAATTATTTTTTAAATGTTTCTTCATTGATTTCTGACTTGACAAGACAAGAATCAGGCAATTTTTCTTTACTTTGTTAAAAGTATAATTATCTTACCCTCCGGCTCAGTTTAGGCTTTTTGGTTTTCTATGGTTTACAGAAATTTCATTATAATATCCAATGTTGTGCTTTTCTTTATGTTGATTATGAATTGTTTACATTGATAATTTGGGATCTCTGAGTTTATAATTATCATTAAACATGGAAAATTGCCGGTCCTTATATTATTTTTCACACATCCTTTTTTGAGACTCCGAATCCATATGTACTGATATTATCTCACATAAACTGATGATATGTTATTTTTTCTAGCATTTTTTATTTTTCAGTTTGAATAGCTTCTATTGCTCTATCTTTCAGTATACTGATCTTCTGATGTTATATCTTATTCAGTCTTTAAGTTTATTGCCCTTTCCTTCTGCTCTTGTGTAGCATCCAATAAACATATTTTCTGGTTATCATTTTTAATGCTAGGTGTTACATGGTATTACTTTTTATGTTTCCCTTTCCTCTTATTATGTTTACTATATTTTTCTTTATATCTGAACGTAATTATAATTGCTATTTTAAAGACCCTGTTTAATAATTCAGTCATGCTTATAATTTCTGTGTCTACTGCTACTTGCTTATATTTATCCTGGTTATGGTTCTTACGTTATTGCTTGTTTTTATGTCTAGTAATTTTGATTGGATGCTTGACATTGCAAGTTTTATCTTCTGTGGTTATTTTTGTTATCATCTTTCAAAATATGTTATTCCGTCTTCTAGAAAGAAGTTATAATACCTTCCTTGATTACCTCTTGAAGCCTGTTTAAGTTTCTTAGAATAGGGGTTTGGAGCAATCTTTATACTCAGCTATTTTAGACTTACTACATGGTTTATCCCTTCTGTAGCCTCTACTGAATGCCTCAGATTTTTAAGAAGGACTCTTTACTCTAGCAGGTCAGAAATCAAATGTCTCATAGCCCTTTATGAGCTTCACCATACAACTTGATTATTCCTGCCCAACTATATGGAGTGTTACTTGATACACATACTTCTTAGTATTCATCAGTACCAAGATGAAGATTATTTAAGCTTTTTATTCATGTAGCTCCCACTTCGATGGACATCTGCTCTGCAAATTCAAGGTGCTTCACATTCCCTGAATTCAAATTATTTTTCTCCTCTATTTGATGAGACTGTTATGTTCTTTTTGAATTTCCCCTATCTACAGTGTAGGAGATAACACTTAATAAATATTTCATGTTTCTGCATAGTCAGGGCTTTCTGAGAAAAGAAGCACCTGAATTATATGATGACTTAAAGATACATACGTCTTGGAAGTTAGAAATCATTTATTATCCTTCAGATTTAAATACATTATTTTTTCCATTGAAATCATTTCTTATAGACTAATAAAACCCAGTGATGTTTTCTTATGTTCCATGGTGTTGAAGAAAAGCTGAAGGCTTTCCCTTCCTTCTCCAGAATAAATTGTTTACATTTAAGAGTAAGGTCTTTTTTGCTATCTCTGAAAGTGAGGATAGGCTGGTGTGTCAACAGCTCTTATATGACCTCAATGATTCATAATTTCAGAATATCTCTCCTGTAGTGCAAACTCCTGAGGTGATAGCTAGCTATCATTGTGTTATCTCACATGGAATTCAAGAATGGGGAGCTAACACGGAATGCCCTGTGTGTAAATAAAGTGTCTGTTAGCTCATCCAGAGGTGTATGCTTGTGTGTTTCAGGGCAAACTAACTTGTTAGCTTCCAAGCAAGGTAAAGTCTCAGACCCATGACAGTTTCTTACTTAAAATACACTATGGCCAGAAAGTGATTCCCAGAGATACGCGATGGTAATCATAAGGCTCATATCATTTGCTTACATTCTCTGATATTATATTATTTACCTATCTATTGCCCAGTACCTAAAAATATTAGTTTCAAATATTTTGTTCTGTTGTTTATTTATTCACCCCAGGAGGTAACTTCAGTATCATTGGTTTTAACGACCTGAAACTAAAATTCTGTCTTCATTTTTAACTTCCAAACACTTTAAATTCATGATACTATGCAGACACTGATTGGTTTCAGTGTTTAGAAATTGTTTTAATGAAAATATAAAAGTATAGTTTTTAAATCAGACCAACTTGGCTTCTTATTCTGGCTTTGATATTTACATCAAAGTTACTGAGTGGCTCAGGACAATTAATTAAACCTTTTAAGCTTGAGTCCTCATGAAAATAATAATTGCTAATATGAATATTTGCCAAAAACAGTAGATTAACTAATATATAATAAACATTATACACAATAAAAGCTCAAAAAAGGTTTTTGTCCTTCCTTTAATGCCCTTTACATTTATTTTATATTACATGTAATTTCTTAGTCAGTGCTAGGTTTCTAAAGAGCTTCCTAACCCTTTGAAATTTCTTTCCATCTTTAGCATCTTTGGCAATGGAAGACTACCACTTTTTTTTCTATTTAGTTTTTGAAGTTTATCATCTTCATGGATAATTCATTTCTGAAAATGGCTTATATTTTACATCCTGCCTTTCATAAACAAAGGATGATTAAACACTACATCTTAAACATTTTATCACTTTTATATCAATGAACGGTTTGGGGTTGATTATATTTAATCTTTATTTTATATATGTATATATTTTTTTTAATTTCTGTTACCTTCATAGTAGTTTTCATTTTTAACTAGGAAGACTTATTCATCACTGTAATAAATAAAAAATTACTGCAATGCATGTAGGCATTTGTGGTATCCTTCTTTCTGAGGAGCATTTTTAAATGATGCATTTATTTATTGATGGATTTTTATTAGTAAAAATGCATAAACTTTAAAGAAAAAGTGGTTTTTGAGGGGTACAATTTATGAATAATAGCTCAATATTTCAAAATTTTCATAATCTGACAATAATCTTCCCTTTAATGTAATTACTACTGTGCTACAGTGCAGTGGTATGAAGGGATTCAACAAGAATAAAACATGATATTGCTTAGAAGATTGGTGAGAGTGTAGGGATTGTGAATGGCCCAGACAAACAGAAATAAGTGTTGGTTGGAGGTCACATTTCATATTGTCTTTGATTACATAGTAATGGTTATTTCTTATTGATGAAACTCTATAATGCCTAATAAAATAATTGAGACTAAAAACTAACACGAATAGGTCAATACTACAATACAGCTTATTTGAAAAGAAAACATTCTATAAGATGGTATACTTTAAATGTTTATTTTACTTATCAATCAGGAGACCTAATGCTATGATCCCCAGAAAGGGAAAAGTTTAAAGGGAGGACTATTAAAATGGAAGGGCCAGAGTATAATATGTGTTTTATTTGATTATAGTTCATCAAACTGGAGAGCCCACAAAGATGTGACAGGAACTGACAGAATGTTTTTTCCTAAGAAGAATAAGACATTTTCCCATAAAAATAATGTTAAACAAGGTTGAGAGTAGTCAGAGTGAAATATTTTCATGATGTATTGAGCTAGCTCTTTAAATTTAAGAATTTATAAACAGGAAATTGGAAACAGCCTGGTTGGCACTAATGTATAATTACCACCAAAAATAACTTAAGCATTTTTATACTTGTTGAAAAACACAGTGTAAATTTTGAACACGTTAAACTTCAAAAGAAATTCTTGTGTCTGTCTGGATGATTTGTGTCTTCAAATATAAACTGCACTTCCTTCCTTATATGTCAACATATTTATTACTCTCATGACATTTTTGCCAATATAATTTTATGCCACAAACCCTACAGGAAATAATGGATAATTTAGACCTAAAAAAACTTGGAAACATGTAGGCGTGACCTTCGAAAGGCTCATGGAAAATACATAATATACTATAAAGACACATGCACACACATGTTTATTGAGGCACTGTTCACAAGAGCAAAGACTTGGAACCAACCCAAATGCCCATCAGTGATAGACTGGATAAAGAAAATGTGGCATATATACACCATGGAATACTATGCAGCCATAAAAAAGGATGAGTTCATGTCCTTTGCAGGGACAAGGATGAAGCTGGCCACCATTATTCTCAGCAAACTAACACAAGAACACAAAACCAAACACCGCATGTTCTCACTCATAAGTGGGAGGTGAACAATGAGAACACATGGACATAGGGAGGGGAACATCACACACTGGGGCCTGTTGCGGGGTAGGGGGCTAGGGGAGGAATAGCATTAGGAGAAATACCTGATGTAGATGACAGGTTGATGGGTGCAGCAAACCACCATGGCACATGTATATCTATGTAACAAACCTGCACATTCTACATATATACCCCAGAATTTAAAGTATAATAATAAAATAAAATTTAAAAAAGAAAATGCATATTATAAGAAAAAAACTATGCATGGATTCAAATGCTTTGCATAAAAATAAATTCATACTCATTTGTTATACTGTGTCTGAAATGGATCTAGTTAGGGGCACTAAGCAGGGTAAGACATTAGCTTGAAAAGAGCTCCTATCAGATCAACATGAATTCTGCTGAAACTGAAGAAGGAATAAACATCTGTTTTATGCTGAAGCTTGAGTGAAACAATGGTGAAATCATTGATGCTTTATTAAAATTTTATAAGGACAATTCCTTAAAGAAATCAGCAGATTACAAATGATTAACTCATTTTAAGAAGGGATGAGATAATGTTGAAGATGCAACCGACAGTGGCAGATCATCCACGTGAATATATGTAGAAAAAAATATATCCTGCTGTTGCCCTAATTGAGATAGTAAGGACTAACAGTAGAAACAATTACCAACACCACAGACATCTAAACTGATTGAACTTGCACAATTCTGACTGAAACATTAAATCTGAGCAAAATTTTCACTTGATGGATGCCAAAACCATTGCACCCAGATCAGCTGCAGACAAGACTACAGCTTCCAATGGAAATTTTAGGCAAGTAGGTTCAAGATGCTAAAGCATTTCTTCAAAGAATCGTAACAGAAGATAAAACGTGGCTTTACTAGTACAATCCTGAAGAACAAGCCCAATCAAAGCAATGGCTACCAAGACGTGAAACAACTTCAGTCAAAGCAAAAACAGACTGGGCAAGAGCAGAGTTCATTATAAGAGGTTTTGGTGATGCTCAAGGCATTTTTCTTACTGAGTTTCTGGGGAACCAAAGAATGAAAATATCTGTTTAAGTTGACAGTGTTTTGAAAAAGTTCGCCAAAGCTTGAGCAGAAAAATGCCCAGGAAAGCCTCAACAGAGAATCCTTCTTCACAAAGACAATGTTCCTGCTTATTCCTCTTTTCAAACAAGGACAATTTAATGAGAGTTTCAATGGGAAGTCTTAGGTATTCACTTTAAAGTCCTGATTTGATTTTTTTTTTTTTTTTACTATTTTGTTTCCTAATCTGAAATGGATCTTTGAAAGCCATCAATTTTTCCTCAATTAATAGTCTAAAAAAGACTGCATAGACAAGGTTAAATTTCCAGGACCCTCTGTTCTTTAAGGATGAACTAAATAGCTGTTACCATTGCTTACAAGAACGTCTTGAACTTAATGGATCTTATGTTGAGAAATAAAGTTTCTCTTTATTTTTATATTTTAAGTTCATTTTTTCATGGCCTTTTGGAAGTTCCCTTTAAATTTTATGATTTTTCATTTATATTTATGTTTTGATTTTTATTACAGTTGCTTAGGAAAATATTTACTCAACAGCAAAATAAGACACCCTTGATTCAAGAAAATTACAAAAAATTTATCAGACCACTCTCCTTATTTCGTCAAGTTACTGACTATTCATTAAAAGACTAAAAACAAACACAACACAAAAACAGATGGTGTGTTGCAAGGACTTATGCAACACGTAGGAAAGATGTAATTTCAATTTAAATGCTAGGAGTTTTACATCTAAATTGTTAGTGTGACTTTTTAAGTTTTATCCCATTAATAATATGAGCTGTGTTGTACTCATCATTAGAATAATATTCCAGGTGCTATTATAGCTATGTGAAAATGGAGTTTAACCTTCTCAATGCTAAGTGCAGTTTCACAATCCTGTTGAAAATTGAATCACTGCTTATATATTTTTTAATGTTCAGATTAAACCATAAAATGTATAATAATATATAGATGTTGGGAAGATAATCAGAGCTTCTCTCACTATGAATACATTCACACAATCAAACATGGCATTATATGAAATAGATAATCTAAGTTTTTATTAATTTGGTGAGCTCATTTATGAAGGAATTAGGTCAAATTTCTTAGAAACTGTTCATACATATTATTTATCTCTTATACTTACCTGAAGGTAATTGACAAAAAGAGAAAAAACTGTATATAGACTTTTTCCTTATTAGATAATATCCAGTAATTGCTATGTCAGATAATTTGACTGAAACAGAAAATTGCGTGGTAATGCAGTCATATAAGAAGTATCGGATATAAAAGTGATCTTCAAGCCCAGAAGTACTTTTATAAATCACAGAAATCAAGATAGTTGGCCCTTCTCATAGTATAATTGACAAATAGCTGAAAATATAATACAATTAGCTCCAACCACCCATAGCCTAGATTTTCTATAAATTTAGTACAGAGTTTTAAGAAGCTAATTTGAGTACTTGAAGCTGTTATGCTACTGCTAGAAAACTGTGCAGTTAACTTACAATGAGAACTCAAAAATGTCCTTTGAGAAATGTTGATTTCAAGCATATAATCAGTAAGCAGAAACCTGGTTCATCTACTTTTTATCATTACTATGTATTTTTATTATTACGTATGGTTTTATCTAACCTACATACTTACAAGAAACAAAAACTACTGTTAAGAATGAAAATGGTACAACCATTTTATAAAACAGTTGGGCAGTTTTTTAAAAGTTAAATGTATGTCTATCCTATAATCCAGCCATTTCATTTATATGTGTTTATTTAAGAGAGTAAGAAATATATGTCCAAGTGAAGGCATAAGGAATGTTTACACCAACTTATTTGCAATAGACAAACATTGGAAACAAAA
The DNA here is from genome assembly GCF_000001405.40 of Homo sapiens. NCBI lineage: Eukaryota > Metazoa > Chordata > Mammalia > Primates > Hominidae > Homo > Homo sapiens. The sequence goes on along the minus strand of NC_000002.12, from coordinate 193,611,697 downwards.
CAAATACTCATCAACAGAATGGAAAATATAAATGGAAAAACAAATTTGGTGTATCCATATAATGAAATACTACTTGACAACAAAATGAACTATAGATTCTATAGTTCTATGGAAACTAATTATGCTGAACGAAAAAGCCAACCCAAAATAAATATGCTGTATTATTCTATTTTTATAAAATCCTAGATAATGTAGATGAATCTGTAGTGACAGAAAGATAAGTGGTTACTTAGAGATGAAGATGAACAGGCAAGGATTAAGAGGAAAGATACTTTTAGTATGATGAATGTGTTCATTATCTTGATTGTGGTGATGATTTCATACACACATCAAAACATATTCAATTGTACACTTTAGACATATGCAGTTTATTGGTTTAAATTATGCCTCAATAGAGCTGTTTTAAAAATTACCCATAATATATGTTAATTTAGAGAACAATAGATGTGAGATGTATCTTTAAATGCTTAAGGAATTTAGAGGAAATATTTATCCCAAGTCTGTGAAAATGCTTCTCTTTGTTAATTTTATTCTCCCCATTGCATAAAGGAAAATCAGGTTTATCATGCTGTCCATTTTTCAATTAGATTTTGATATTTGTGAAGCCAGTAGAGTTCTATGTACTGAGTATTAGATTTACTGCCAAAGAGAAAAAGATAGCCTAAAGCAATCTAAATATTGCAATAATAAACAAAGGATAACTCATTTTAACATTTTTAATAGTTTATTTTTATATTGTCCTTATCAGCTTCTGCATGAAAAACAGCAATAAAAAAACTGCAAGATCCAAAAATGACTAATAGATCTAATTATACTTCAAGAAATTATATAAACTTCTTTACAAGGTAAATATATGACAATTATAAGCATAGAAATACTATGCTACATTAGTGTTACACTTATAGTTTACCCATGTAAACTATCTAGATTCCTTAAGGTACATGCTCAAAACAAAACAAAAAAAAGATTACAAATTACTATGAGTTTTTTTGTAAACATTTATATTAGAATAGTTTCAGATTTACAGAAAAGTTGGAAAGACAGTAGGAAGTTCCCTTATACTTCACACGATTTCTCATATTATTAAAATATTCTATGCATATGGTAGATTTCCACCAGCTAATAAACCCATATTTGTACATTTTTATTAAGGAAAGTGCATATTGAATTTGGATTTTGTTTTGTGTGTTTGGTTGGTATTTATTTATTTATTTTTCTAATATACTTTTTCTTTTTTTTTTTTTTTAGACGGAGTCTCACTCTGTCTCCCAGGCTGGAGTGCAGTGGCATGATCTCGGCTCACTGCAAGCTCCGTCTCCTGGGTTCATGCCATTCTCCTGCCTCAGCCTCCCGAGCAGCTGGGACTACAGGCACCCGCCACCACGCCCAGCTAATTTTTTGCATTTTTTAGTAGAGACGGGGTTTCACCATGTTAGCCAGGATGGTCTCGATCTCCTGACCTCGTGATCCACCTGCCTCGGCCTCCCAAAGTGCTGGGATTACAGGCGTGAGCCACCGCGCCCGGCCTCTAATATACTTTTTCTACACCAGGCTATCCCATCCAAAATTCACACCTCATTTAGTAGTCGTGTGTCCTTTGGTTCCTCTAGACAGTGATAGTTTCTGACATTCATTTTTTGATGACCTTGAAAAGTTTAAGGACTACCGATCAGATATCTTGTAAAATTTCTGTCAATACTGCATTGTCTGAGGTTTTTCATAAGATTCGACAGTGGTTATGAGTTTTGAGAGGAAGACCACAGAGGTAAAGTGCCATTCTCATCATTATTTCTATGGATGGTGCCTATTATCAACAATATTATTTAATTGATAATGGTGCCCTTGTTTGCATGGCATATGTACTTTTATTATGTTTCTCCAGTGAAAACTAACTAAACTTCCCCCTTCTTTTTATACTCTTTGGAAGGAAGTTATGCTTCACCTCACTGAGGCATCCCTATCTATGCAAATATTTGAGATTCTTTCATAGGGAAAATGTTTCTATTATCTTCCATTTATTTATTTTTTATCATATATTTATATTAATTTTGATTCATGGATATTTCTTTCATTCTTGGGTTTATAACCTAATAGCAAATTAGATTTATTAGTCAAATTGTTAAAGTTGGCCATGGGCAGCTCTTTTAGTTTGCTTCCATGTCTCTTTGCCAAATACACATATTTTGTTTTATGAGCACTTACTCTCTGGCACTAAAGATGCTCCAGAATCATCGTGTCTATTCCCTGCCTTAATGCCTAGAAGTAGTCATTTCTCAAAGTTTATTTCATTAGAGAATGGCATTAGAAACCAAGCTCTTCAAATAGCTTTTTCAAAGGTCATTTCCCATGCATATTATCTTAACATAGTGGAGATGGTAAACTATAAATTCTTAACCAGAATCCTCATATTTTGTAATATGAGGATATTGTAATATTTATGTTAATATAAATAAATGATATTAGAAGCAGTTACACAGCATATTCAAAAGTACAATATAGTAGAAATGTATATAAGTTTAACATAAAAGAAACCTACCAGTCAGTAAGCCCTTATGCCTGCCTATCCTCTTTCTTCACTTCGTACAAATTTATGGGCTTATAACGACGTAACAAAGCATGATTCTGGATACCACAGAATTAAAAGATAAAGATGTATTATCTGCCCTAACATAATGAAATTAGGCTGCAAAATATTACATATGTAACTTTATTTCCCTACTTGCTTCTTTTATTTCATTATTTTTTCTTCCTTCTTTTTTTCTTCTTTTTTGCCTCTTTTTTTAACCTCCCTCTTCATCTATCCCTAAATTTTTTGATCTTCTACACGTATGGCTATCACATCTATTATGCTAACCTAAAACATTTCATGGTTTATTCCATAAAAGAAAGACCATCCCCAAAGCAAGAAGAAAAATATTGCAAATTTATGCATTTTAGGCACAACCAAACTGAAATTCATGCTGAAATTTTATAAATTAAAAAAATCAAATTTATCTGTAAATCAAAGCAATGTATTATATAATGTTCTCTTCACATAAATTTTCCCAATGTCAGCATTATGGCCAGGTAAATGAGATGGCATTATCAAAATCACCAAAATATCTTCATCTCAAATACTAGAAAGCAAGAAAATATAAAATATTGCCATAATATATTGCTTCAATTTCATCATAATATACCCAACAAAATAAGTCACAGAGAAAAGAGAAGAAAGTCAAGCTTAAATGTTTGATTTCAGGTCAGCATAGTTTGGTTTTCTCGTGTTCACCATTTTACTAAATAGAGAATTAAAAAACTTCTCTTCCTACTTCAAAGTCACATATGTAGCAAAAGTAATTATGAATGTTAAGACACACTGAAAGATATAAAATACAATTTATTTTACTAAACTTTATCTGCTTCTAAATAAGTTAACATTTAAATTTTGCTGTACAAAATACTCAACTTTCTGTCTATAGTTGGTAGAGGCAGGGTGAGGAAATATTTTCCAAGACATGTAGCACAAATTTACTTACAAAATTATCATAAAACTACTTGATCTACCTCAAAACAATAAATTAGTTTAAAACCATAAACAATCCTTAGTAAACATTAGTATCCTTCTATCTGCATTATTATTGCTGTTTCATTTTTGTGTTTGCTTAGTCTTGTTTGTATTTGTTTTATTCTATGAAAATTCGCTAAAAACATCCTTCTTCTTGAAATTATTTACCAACTTCTTAAAAATCATTTTGCTGAAAACAACTTCACAATGACCAAACAGGATTTATTCCAAAATGCAAGATTAGTTCAATTCTAAGAAATTCATTAATATCAATGTACCACATTAATAGATTTAAGTAATAAAATATTTTCATTATCTCCATGCTGCAGGGGAAAAAATATCTCACAAAACCTAAGAGCCATTTCTGATAAAAAACACTCAAGAAAATCTAAATTGAGGGATATATTTTAACATGATTATGTATGTTGCCAACGCCATAATGCAACATAAGAGAGGCATCAGAATGGTAAACAAAGTAATCACAATTGCAAATAATATGATCTTACACCTGGAATACCCTACAGCAGGGGTCAGCAAACTAAGGCCAATGGGTCAAATCTGGCATGCTCAGGCTCAAAGTCGAATTCCGCCCTGGAAATTGCTCTTGATCAGTTCTGCCAAGGTTTCTTTCTAGGGGGCAGCTTTTATTTATATTACTGGTGAATATTGGTGTTTAAAGGCCAAGTTCTTTTGGAATTTGAGATAATTATGAAAGGTCATCCAGCTCCAGATTCCTTAATTATTCAAAAGCATTGATATGGTTTGGCTGTGTTCCCACTCAAATCTGATCTTGAATTGTAGCTCCCATAATTCCCATGTGTTGTGGGAAGGACCCAGTGGGAGATAATTGAATCATGGGGGTGGTTTCCCCCATATGGTTGTCGTGGTAGTGAATAAGCCTCATGATATCTGATGGTCTTATAAAAAGGAGTTCCTCTGCACAAACTGTCTCTCCTTGCCTGCCGCCATTCATGTAAAATCTAAGTTGCTCCTCCTTGCCTTCCACCATGATTGTGAGGCCTCCCCAGCCATGTGGAACTGTGATTCCATTAAACCTCTTTCCTTTATAAATTACCCAGTCTTGAGTATGTCTTTATTAGCAGCATGAAAACAGACTAATACAATAAATTGATACTGATAGAGTGGACTAATACAAGCATTATGCCTAACAGCACTTCCCAGTAAAACTCTCAGTGTACAGAAATCTATTTCAGAAGTTGAGGGAACTTGATCTAAGATATATTTAATGTAGGCATTACTATAACTGGACAAGGGAAGAGAGAGAGAGGAAGAGAGAATCTGCAAGCACTTCATGAAAGATTCAAGTCTTCAGGAAAACTGAATAGACAAAGAAAAAACAAGAGTATGAGATATCAGATTGGTGCAAAAGTAATTGTAGCTTTTGCCATTAAAAGCAATTAGTTTTGCACCAATATATAATAACTTCTAGAAGAAAACACAGAATATTTCACAACCGTGAGATAGACAAATGTTTATTAGGGCACAAATATAATAAATCATAAAAATGACAAGTTGTATTTCATCAAATAAAAACTGTCTTCTCTTAGATTAATACCATTAATAAACTGAAGAGCCAAGCCACAAATTAGGAGAAAATATTTCTAACACACATACCTGACAAAAGATTTGAATACAGTATATATAAACAAAGAGTACAATTATTAAGATAACAATAATTCTATAAATGGGAAAATGCTTGAATATGTACAATCACAAAGAAAAAAAATACAATCAATAATATGTAGACCAGTAAGCACATAAATAGCAATCAGGGAAATGCAAATTAAAACTGTTACATATTTGCAAGAATGACCACAACCTAAAATATGAATAACACTAAGTATTATTCAAGTAGAAAGCAAGTAGAAAGCTTATTAATTACTTGAATATAATATGATAAAACTACTTTGTAAAATAGATTTTTAAAATAGTTTATTATATAATTAAATATGCTTCTGTCCAAAGATCCAGTAATCCTGCTTTTAGATATTTATCAAAGATTAATAAAAATATAAATGCAGAAATTAAAAAAATTGTTCATAGGAAGTGATATTCTGGCTCTGTGTCCCCACACAAATTTCATCTTGAATTGTAATCTGAATTGTAAACCTCACATGTTGGGGAAGGGAACTTGTGGGAGGTAATTGAATCATAAAAGTGATTCTCTCATGCTGTTCTCATGATAGTGAGTGAGTTCTCAGAGGGTCTGATTGTTTTGTGAGGAGCTTTTTCCCCTTCACTCTGCACTTTTCTCATTCTTCTCCTTCCTGCCAACATGTGAAGAAGAATGTGTTTGCTTCGTCTTCTGCCACAATTGTAAGTTTTCTGAGGCCTCCCCAGCCATGATGAATGGTGAGTCAATTAAACCTCTTTCCTTTATATATTACTCAGTCCCAGGTCAGGCACGGTGGCTCACACCTGTAATCCCAACACTTTGGGAGGCTGCAGTGATTGGATCACTTGAGGTCAGGAGTTCAAGACCAGCCTGGCCAACATGGTGAAACCCCATCTCTACTGAAAATACAAAAATTAGCTGGGTGTGGTGGCACATGCCTGTAATCCCAGATACTCACGAGGCTGAGGGAAGATAATTGCTTGAACCCAGGAGGCAGAGGTTACAGTGAGCTAAGATCATGCCACTGCAGTCCAGCCTGGGTGACAAAGTGAGACTCCATCTCAAAAAAAATTAATGATAGTAAAATAAAATAAAATATACATAAATTACCCAGACTCAGGTGTGTCTTTATTAGCAGCATGAAAACAGACTAATACAGGAAGTTTTTATTCATAATAGCCAAATAATGGAAACAGTTCAAACATCCATCAACAAGCAGGTTATTTTTTAAATAACGTTTATAATGAAATACTATATTAACAAACAATAGTAATAAATAAATTACAGGTACACTCAAAAGCATGGATTAATGTCTAGATATTACGTTGAGGGAATTATTCCAAACCCAAAAAAGGACCTATTGTATTGTTTGGTTTGAATGAAGTTTTAGAATATGCAGCCAAAAAACACATGAAGAAGTGCTCATCATCACTGGCCATCACAGAAATGCAAATCAAAACCACAATGAGATACCATCTCACACCAGTTAGAATGGCGATCATCAAAAAGTCAGGAAACAACAGGTGCTGGAGAGGATGTGGAGAAATAGGAACACTTTTACACTGTTGGTGGGACTGTAAACTAGTTCAACCATTGTGGAAGACAGTGTGGCGATTCCTTAAGAACCTAGAACTGAAATACCATTTGACCCAGACATCCCATTACTGGGTATATACCCAAAGGATTATAAATCATGCTGCTATAAAGACACATGCACACGTATGTTTATTGTGGCACTATTCATAATAGCAAAGACTTGGAACCAACCCAAATGTCCATCAATGATAGAGTGGATTAAGAAAATGTGGCACATATACACCATGGAATACTATGCAGCCATAAAAAGGATGAGTTCATGTCCTTTGTAGGGACATGGATGAAGCTGGAAACCATCATTCTCAGCAAACTATCCCAAGGACAAAAAACCAAACACCACATGTTGTCCACTCATAGGTGGGAATTGAACAATGAGCACACTTGGACACAGGAAGGGGAACATCACACACCAGGGACTGTTGTGGGGTGGGGGGAGGGGGGAGGATAACATTAGGTATACCTAATGCTAAATGATGAGTTAATGGGTGCAGCACACCAACATGGCACATGTATACATATGTAACAAACCTGCACGTTGTGCACATGTAACCTAAAACTCAAAGTATAATAATAAAAAAAGAATAAGCAAAATAATCTATGATAATAAATATCAGATAAGTGATTTCCCTGTGGTAAGAAACTTGAAGGAACGTTCTAAGACAATAAAAATATTCTATATATTGATTGATGTGGTGGTTACATAGTATATGAGAATATACTTTTGCTAAAACATCTGTACATTCTATGTTTTACAGTTCATTAAATGTATTTTATAAATATCTGTATAGGTAATTTATAACTCAATTAAGTTCATTTTTAAAATGGTCAATTGATGTAAGGGGAAAAAAATCCATAATCACGGCAGTTAGGAAACTATTTCTTGAGGATTTGCAGTTATACCAAGTGATAGCAGAAACTCTGGATGGAATTTAAAGGAAAACTCAGGATGACCAGCATAAAAATTTAATATAGTACTTGGTGGAATTTTAAAAAGTCACAGTTATTTGAGTAAGCATAGAAGTACTGTGTCTGAGGAAACACGACTCAGAAATAAAGGGAAGTTGAAGTGTTGACAAAGGAACAGTAGAGATAAAGCTTATAAGGGGGAGCTGAGAAGGAAAGTGGTGCATGAAGTTTAGACCTAGATTAGATGCTATTAACAGCAGAATACGTTCCAGGCTGGATTACTTATCTTAAAGAATTGAATGTGAGCAGGATTGTAAGATTTCATATCTTTCATGACGGAAAACCAACCAGACCAAGCCTAGAGGTATCTATTAGAAAAACAAACACAATAAATGGCCTCAGCCAAAAAGCAAAGGCAAGGAAACCAAAAGTTAAACATGTGATTCCAGCGTATAATCCTAGTCCACATGAAAAAGAGAGGGGGCAGAACCTAATTTAAGAAATGAGTTCCAGGAAAAAATAAAATGAAAAACTAGAACGCTCAAAACAGCAACGGGTTAGAGAGCATATGGGAAAATATTCATCTGCAGTTGGCTCTTAGGGTGACAAAGTTCGGGAACATCAACAGAAGCATCTGTTCAGATGGTTATTGGGCATTCCATTGAGGATGAAATCTGTTATATTGACATTGTCTAAAAAAGGACTTTTGAGACTTTGGTGTGGGCTTTGACAAAGAAAGGTACTATGTTTTGGAAAAATAATTTTGCCTTGCAAAAGTAAATTGTAGGCTGAGAAGTGGCATTTTAAAAATAAACTTATTCTCATAATTATACATGTTCTTTTAACTCTTTGTACCATTGTAGCGTGGAGATTCTCAAAACTGACAAGGAGTAATTAAAATTTTGAGCCTCTAAGAAAAAAAAAACACTATGGGATTCTTATTAGTGAATTTAGGTCACATTAATTAAAACAAACCCAATTCCGACTGGGTGCGGTGGCTCACGCCTGTAATCCCAGCACTTTGGGAGGCTGAGGCGGGCAGATCACGAAGTCAGGAGATGGAGACCATCCTGGCTAACACGGTGAAACCCCGTCTCTACTAAAAATACAAAAAATTAGCCAGGCGTGGTGGTGGGCGCATGTAGTCCCAGCTACTCAGGAGGCTGAGGCAGGAGAATGGCATGAACCCAGGAGGCGGAGCTTGCAGTGAGCCGAGATCGCGCCACTGCACTCCAGCCTGGGCGACAGAGCGAGACTCTGTCTCAAAAAACAAACAAACAAACTCAATTCCACCCAGGCATTATTCTGGCTGAAACTAAGCATACTAAGAAATTATGGACAACTTCAACTTCTTTGAATTTTATTTTAAAATAAATATGATTTAGTAATGTGTACTTTTAACTTAACATAGTAAAATAATTTTATTTTTAACATAATCTCTTATCCTTGGATTTTAATTTACAAGGAATTGCAGTCTTCTCTTATTCTTGATTTTGCTTTCTGAGGTTTTAGTTACCTTTGGTTAACTGCAGTCCAAAAACCTTAAGACATCTTGAGAGGGAGAGAGAAAGACAGCAAGAGAGAAAGAGACCACATTCACATGACTTTTATTACAGTATACTATGGTAATTGTTCTATTTTGTAATTAGTTATTGTTAAGCTCTTACTGTGGCTAGTTTATAAATTAAACTTTTTTGTAAGTATGTATGTACAGAGAAGACATGCGTATATAGAGTTCAGTACTATTGGAGGATTTAGCATCCACTGGGGGTCTTGGCACATATGCATCGTAGATAAGGAGAGGCTATGTAGTTTTAGTTTTCCTCAGAGAAATTTATAAGGAGAGAGTCAGATTTTGGTCATCACCATATAATTGGCATCTTATTATTGGATCCTTATATTGTCTTCTATATTGGATCTTTATATTGTCTTTAATGAGCCATACTGGACAATACTACAGGATATGATCTGAGCAAAGAAACAGAATGCATCATATTTCATCTTTTTGCTTTGAAGTTCATTTAAATAAATAAATTAATTAATTACTCTTCAGAACCACTTCTTGGCCTCTGAAAGCAAAATTTATGCTGCCCACACATACTCCCATATTCAAAGAAGGGTTCATTGTTCTTAGGAAAGTGGGCAAGGATTTTCCTAAGAAACTGCTGATCTTCACAAAGAGAAAGAGCCAGACTCCAGTTAATAGTTAAGTCAGTGGGTCAGAAAAAAGGCAAAATATTGAGTAGAACCCAATTTTCCTTTTTTTTTTTTTTCAATATTAAGAGTCCTTTATTAGACTAGGAATCCTCTCTCCACCAATTCACTCTTAGAGGAAGAGGAGTGTGTTATCTGCAGGCAAGTTTGAGAGAGAAACACAAAGAAAGCATGGCTCAACCCCTTCCTATTCTTTCTTCTGTTTGGGTGTGCAACTACTAGAGAGGAGCATGTTTTTGTTACTGTACTATTTTAACTTGTACAGGTCCAGCCCACTTTCCAGAGGAGTGTGTCATCTGCAGGCAAGTTTGAGAGAGAAACACAAAGAAATCATGGCTCAACTCCTTCCTATTCTTTCTTCTGTTTGGGTATGCAATTACTAGAGAGGAGCATGTTTGTGCTACTTCACTATTTTAACTTGTACAGGTCCAGCCCCACTTTCCATCTTCCTTAGTAATATTCAGCCTTGCTTTAACATAATAAATATGGTTATTAAGTTATTTTAAATTTTTTTAATTTTTAAGTTTTATGGGTACATAGTAGTTGTATATATTTATGGGTTATAAATATATCCATAAAAATATGCACCTACTATATATTATATATATGAATATATATATGTGAAATTTGGTACAGAAATGCAATGCATAATAATCACATTATGGAGAATGGAATATCCATCCCCTCAAGCATTTATTTTTTGTTAAAGTGATCCAATTAGAGTATTTTAATTATTTTTAAATGTACAATTAAATTATGTTGACTATAGTCACCCTCTTGTGGTATCAAATACTAGGCATTATTTATTCTTTCTAACTATTGTTTTTTGTACCCATTAACCATCCCACCTTCCACCCTATCACACCCACATTATAATTCTCAGCCTATGCTAACCATTCTTCTATTCTTTATCTCCGTAAGTTGAATTGTTTTGATTTTTAGATCCCACAAAATAAGTGAAAATTGTGTGACATTTGTCTTTCTGAGCCTATCTTACGTCACTTAACATAATCACCTCCAGTTCCATCGATGTTGTTGCAAATGACAGGATCTAATTATTTTTTAAGGCTGAATAGTACTCCATTGTGTAGAAGCATCATATTTTCTTTATCCATCCACCTTTTGAAGGATGCTTAGATTGCTTTCAAATCTTGGCTATTGTGAATAGCGCTGCAACAAACATGAGAGTATCGATATCTATTTGATATACTGATATGCTTTCTTGTGAGTATATATGAGTATATATTCAGCAGTGGGATTGCTGGATCACATGGTGTAGCTCTATTTTAATTTCTTGAGGAAACTTGAAACTATTCTCCGTAGTGGTTGTGCAAATTTAAATTCCTACCCAAGAGTGTACGAGGGTTCCCTTTTCTCCACATCCTCTACAGCATTTGTTATTGCCTAACTTTTAGATAAAAGGCTCTGGGGTGAAATAATATCTCATTGTAGTTTTGACTTGCATTTCTCTGATGATCAGTGATGTTGAGAACCTTTTTGTATGCCTGTTTGCCATTTGTATGTCTTTTGAGAAACATCTATTCATGTATTTTGTCCATTTTTATGTCAAATTATTAATTTTTTTTTCCTACAGAGTTGTTTGAGCTCCTTACATATTTTAGTTCTTAATTCCTTGTGAGATGAGTAGTTTGGAAATACTCTCTTCCATTCTGTGGTTTGTCTCTTCACTTTGTTTATTGTTTCCTTGCTGTGCAGAAGTTTTTTAACTTGATGTGATCCCATTTGTACATTTCTGCTTTGGTTGCCTGTGTTGGTGGGGTATTATTCAAAAAATGTTTACCCAGACCAATGGCCTGAAGATTTTCTCCAATGTTTTCTTATAGTTGTTTCATAGTTTGAGATATTAGATTTACATTTTTTCATCCACTTTGATTTTATTTTTTGTGTATGGAAAGAGAGAGAGGTCTAGTTTCATCTTCTGCATATGGATATTCAGTTTTTCCAGCACCATTAACGAATAGACTCTCTTTCCCCCAGTGTATGTTCAGGGCACCTTTGTCTAAAATGAGTTTATTGAAGGTGTGTGGATTTGTTCCTGAGTTCTCTATTCTGTTCCATTTGTCTATGTGCCCGTTTTTATACAAGTACTATGCTGTTTTGTTTATATAGCTAGGCAGTATAATTTGAAGCCAGATAATATAATTCCTCAAATTTTGTTCTTTTGCACAGAAGAGCTTTGACTATTCTGCATTTCTGTGATTCCACATAAATTTTAGGACATTTTTCAATTTCTATGAAGAATGTAATTGGTATTTTGATTGGAATTGCATTCAATCTGTAGAGTTCTTTGGGTAGTGTGGACATTTTAACAATATTGAATCTTCCAATCCATGAACATGAAATATTTTTCCTTTTTTTTGGTGTCCTTTTCAATTTCTTCCATCAGTGTTATATAGTTTTTATTATAAAGATCTTTCATGTCTTTAGTTAATTTCTAGGCATTTATTTGTGGTTATTATAAATGGAATTATCTTTTTTATTATTTTAGATTGTTCACTGTTGGCATATAAAAATGCTATTGACTTATGTATGCTGATTTTGTAGCCTGCAAATTTACTGAATTTGTTTATACTTTAATAAATTTTTGGTGGAGTCTTGAGGTTTTTTTTCTTCTAATATAAGATTGTATCATTGCAATCAAGGATAATTTGAATTCTTCATTTCCAATTTGGATGCCCTTTACATCTTTCCCTTGTTTGATTACTCTAGCTAGGACCTCCAGTGCTATGTTTAATGACAGTGGTGAAAGTGGGCATCCTTGTAATTTTCAAGAGTTAAGGAAAGAGGCTCTCAGTTTTTCCTCATTCAGTGTGAAACTAGCTGTGGGTATGTCATATAGGGTTTTTATTATGTTAAAGTATGTTCTTTTTAGCCCCAGTTTTTTGAGGGTTCTCATGAAGGGATACTGAACATTATTAAATGCTTTTTCAGCATTAACTAAAATAATTCTATGGTTTTTTACTTTATTCTGTTGACATAGTGTGTCACATTGATTGATGTGTATACGTTGAACCATCCTGGCATCCCTGGGACAAATACCACTTGGTCATGATGAATGATCTTTCTAATGCATTGTTGAATTCAGTTTGCTAGTACTTTTTGAGAAATTCTGAATCAATATTCATCAGAGATACTGGCCTGCAGTTTTCTTCTTCTTCTTTTTTTTTTTTTTTTTTGGATGTGTCTTTGATTTGGGTATCAGGGTAATACTAGGCTCATGGAATGAGTTTGAAAGTATTATATCCTCCTCTATTTTTTTGAAAGAGTTTGAGTAAGATTGGTACCAGTTCTTTAAGTGTAGATAATTCAGGAGTGAAGATATCAGGTCCCATACTTTTCTTTTTTCTTTTCTTTTTTCTGTTTTTTTGTTTGTTTGTTTTTCTTTGGGGACGGAGATTCACTCTGTCATCCACGCTGAAGTGCAGTGGCGCAGTCTTGGCTCACTGCAACATCTGCCTCCCAAGTTCAAGCAAGTCTTCTGCCTCAGATTCCTGAGTAGCTGGGATTACAGGCATGTGCCACCATACCCAGCTAATTTTTCGTATTTTTAGTAAAGATGAGGTTTCACTATGTTTGACTAGGTTGGTCTTGAACTCCTGACCTCAACTGATCTGCCCACCTCGGCCTCCCAAAGTGCTGGGATTACAGGCATGAGCCACCATATCTGGCCCTATGCTTTTTTTCTTTTCTTTTCTTTTCTTTTAACTGGAAGACCTTTAATTATGGCTTTGATCTCATTACTTGTTATTGGTCTTGTTAAGGTTTTGAACTTCTTCTTCATGGTTCAATCTTGATAGGTTGTATGTGTCTATGAATTTATCCATTTCTTCTAGATTTTCCAATTTACTGTCATATAGTTGCTCACATTAGCCACTAATGATCCTTTGAATTTCTGCAGAGGCAGTTGTAACATCTTTTTATTTTTCATTTTATTTATTTGGGTCCTCTCTCATTTTCTTCTTAGTCTCGACAAAAGTTTGACAATTTTGTTTATCTTTTCCAAAAAAAACCTACTTTTTGTTTCACTGATGTTTTGTATCATTTTCTTCATTTCTTTTTTTTTTTTTTTCTTTTTTTATTATTATTATTATACTTTAAGTTTTAGGGTACATGTGCACATTGTGCAGGTTAGTTACATATGTATACATGTGCCATGCTGGTGCGCTGCACCCACTAACGTGTCATCTAGCATTAGGTATATCTCCCAATGCTATCCCTCCCCCCTCCCCCGACCCCACCACAGTCCCCAGAGTGTGATATTCCCCTTCCTGTGTCCATGTGATCTCATTGTTCAATTCCCACCTATGAGTGAGAATATGCGGTGTTTGGTTTTTTGTTCTTGCGATAGTTTACTGAGAATGATGGTTTCCAATTTCATCCATGTCCCTACAAAGGACATGAACTCATCATTTTTTATGGCTGCATAGTATTCCATGGTGTATATGTGCCACATTTTCTTAATCCAGTCTATCATTGTTGGACATTTGGGTTGGTTCCAAGTCTTTGCTATTGTGAATAATGCCGCAATAAACATACGTGTGCATGTGTCTTCATTTCAAAATAATTTATTTCAGCTCTGATTCTTACTATTTTTTCTTCTAATTTGGGTTTGATTTGTTCTTCCTTTTCTAGTTTTTTAAAATGCATCATTGGGTTATTTATCCAAAGTTTTTCTTCTTTTCTGATGTGGTCACTTATAAATTCCCCTCTTAGTACTGCTTTCACTGTATCTCACAGGTTTTGGTATTTTGTGTCCATTATCATTGTCATTTCTTTCAAGAACTTTTTCAAATTCCTTCTTAATTTCTTCATTTGTCCACAGATCATTCAGGAGCATATTGTTTAATCTCCATGTGTTTGTATAGTTTCCAAAATTCCTCTTGTTTTTGATTTCTTGTTTTATTCTGTCATGGTCAGATGAGATGCTTGATATTATTTTATTTTTTTTTTTTTTACTGTTTTAAGACTTGTTGTTTTTGACCTAACACATTGCCTATCCTTGAGAATGATTCATATGTGAGGAGAACAATGTGTATTCTGAAGCTATTGGATGAAATGTTCTGCAAATATCTATTAGATTCATTTGACTTATAGAACACACTGAGTCTGTCATTTCTCTGTTGATTTTCAGTCTTGGAGATAAGTTCAATATTGAAAGTAGGGTGTTGAAATCTCCAGCTATTACTGTATTGGAGTCTATCTTTTTATTTCTAATAGTATTTGCTTCATATATCTGAGTACTCTGCTGTTGGGTACACATATATTCACAGTCATATCCTCTTCCTGAATTGAACCCTTTATTATTATATAATTACCTTATTTGTCTCATATTACAGTCTTTATCTTGAAATCTATTTTGTCTAAGTATAGCTACTCTTGCTCTTTTTTGGTTTCTAGTGGCATTAGATATCATTTTTATCCCTTCATTTTCTGTGTATAGGGATATTTATAAGCAAAGTGTGTTTCTTGTAGGCAACAGATGATTGGGTCTTGTTTTTTCATTTATTCAGCCAGTCTGTGTATTTTGATTGAAGAGTTTAGCTCATTTAAATTTAATATTATTATTGATAAGTAAGGACTTACTCCTGCCATTTTGTTATTTGTTTTCTGGTTTCTTTGCAGTCTTCTCTTCCTTCCTGTCTTCATTTTCATAAACGTGAATTTCTCTGGTGGTGTGTTTTAACTTTATGTGTGTGTGTGTGTGTGTGTGTGTGTGTGTGTGTGTATTTGTTGTATGTTTTTCAATTTTAGGTTACAATGAAGCTTGTAAATACTATCCTAAAACCCATTATTTTAACCTGTTAACAACACTAACACAAACACACAAACGGACACACACACAAATAATAAAAACTCTACATTGTAACTTTTCTCTTCATTTTTTAATTTTTTGTTGTTTCTCTTTATGTCTTGAAATTCTGTTTTAGTTATTATTTTTATTGGTTCATCATCTAGTCTTTCTACATAAGATAAGAGTAGTTTTCACACAACAATTACAGTGTTATACTATTCTTTGTGATATGGTTTGGCTCTGTGCTCCCAACCAAATATCATCTTGAATTGTACTCCCATAATTCCCATGTGTTGTCAGAGAGACTCAGTGGGATATAATTGAATCATGAAGGCTGTTTCCCCCATAATGTTCTCATGGTAGTGAATAAGTCAAATGAGATCCAATGATTTTATCAGGGGTTTCTGCTTTTGCATCTTCCTCATTCTCTCTTTGCCTGTTGCCATCCATGTAAGATGGGACTTGCTCCTCCTTGGTTTCCACCATAATTGTGAGGCTTCCCCAGCCACGTGGAACTGTAAGTCCAATTAAACATCTTTCTTTTGTAAATTGCCCAGTCTCTAGTGTGTCTTTATCAGCAGTGTGAAAACAGACTAATGCTCTTCGTTTTTCTGTGTGCTTACTGTTACCAGTGAGTTTTGTGCCTTCAGGTCATTTCTTCTTGATCATTAACATCCTTTTTGTTCAGACTGAAGTACTCCCTTCAACATTACTTGTAGGGCGGGTCTGGTGCTGATGAAATCCCTTGGCTTTTGTTTGTTTGGGAAGGTCTTTATTTCTTCTTCAAGTTTGAGGGATATTTTCACTGGATATACTATTGTAGGGTAAAAGTTTTTTTGTTTTTTTTTGTTTTTTTTTCATTCAGCAGCTTAAATATGTCACGATACTTGCTCCTTTCCACTGAAAAGTCTGTTGCCAGACATATTGGAGCTCCATTACATGTTATTTTTCTCTTGCTGCTTTTAGGATCCTTTCTTCATCCTTGATCTTTAGGAGTTTCATTATTAAATGTCATGAGATAGTCTTATTTGGGTTAAATCTGCTTTGTGATCTATAACCTTTTTGTTTTTGAATGTTGATATCTTTCTCTAGGTTTGGGAAGTCCTCTGATATTGTCCCTTTCAGTAAACTTTCTACTGTACTCGAACCTCTTTCTCTAAGCCAACAAATCTTAGATTCACCCTTTTGAGGCTATTTTTTCTAGATCTTGTAGGTGTGCTTTATTTTTTTCCTCTTTTCTTTAATCTCCTCTGTGTATGTATTTTCAAATAGCCTGTCTTTAAGCTCACTAATTCTTTCTTCTGCTTAATCAATTCTAAAATTAATAAACTCTGATGCATTCTTCATTGTGTCAGTTGCATTTTTAACTCTAGATTTTTCTGCTAGACTCTTTTACTTATTTCAATTTCTTTGTTAAATTTATCTAATAGAATTCTGATCTTGTTTCTCTATGTTGTCTTGAATTCATTTGAATTTCCACAATAGAGCTATTTTGAATTCTCTGTCTGAAAGGTCATATACCTCTATTTCTCCAGAACTAGTTCCTGGTGCTTTATTGTATTCATTTGGTGAGGTCATGTTTTCCTGGATGGTGTTGATGCTTCTTGATTTTCACTGGTGTCAAGGCATTGAAGAGTGAGATATTTATTGTAGTTTTCACATTCTGGGCTTGTTTGTGCCTGTTCTTCTCGGGAAGGCTTTCCTGGTATTTGAAGGGGCTTAGTTAGGCCCTTTGAGTACCAATAATGCCGTGGTTTTTGCAGACTCATGGAGATACTGCCTTGGTGGTCTTGGGTAAATGCTGGAAGAATTATCTGGATTATTGGAAGGAGTCTAGTTATTTTCTCTTATTTTCTTCCAAACAAACAAACTGTCTCTCTCTCTGTCTCACTCTGTGCTGAGACACCTGGAGCTGGGGGTGTTCTGGTGAAAGGACCCCTGTGGCCATTATCACTGAGACTGCACTGGGTCAGACTTAAAGCCAGCACAGTACTGGGTCTTGCCTAAAACCCTTTCCTATAAGGCCATGAGTTCCCCCAGGCCCCAAGCACGTCCAGAGATGCTGTCTGGGAGTCAGGGATTAGAGTCAGAAACGTTAGTTAGCAATTTACATGTTCTATTTTACTGTGGATAAGCTGATATTCATACCACAATATGAGTCCTTCCTGCTCTTTCTTCCTCTTTCCACAAGCAGAGGAGCTTATCCCTATGTCCACCACCAGCGCTGGTCCATGGAAGTTTTGCCAGATGACTGCTGATGTTCAATTGAAGTCCAAGGTCTCTTCTGTCATCTTGTGCTAAAAGCTGCCAGGCCTGGAACTCATCTTCATGGCTGTGCAGTCCTCTCTGGCCCAAGGCAGGTCCAGAAATGCTATCCAGGAGAATGGGTCTGAACTCAGGCACTCCAAAAGCCTGCTTGTTGCTCTATCCTACTGTGGCTGAGATGGTACCTAATGTGGAAAACAAAGTCTCCTTTACTTTTTGCTTTGTTTCTCTCAGACATAAGGAGTCTTTCACTATAGCCACAAGAGCCCACAGCGCATTCCCTGCATATCACTGCTGGTTATTCGGGGTCCAATTTCTCTTTAGTCAGCAACAACCAAGACTGGATCTTTTACTTCAAGGCAGAAGATTTCCTTTTGGCCCTCAGTGTGTCTAGAAATGTTGTCCAGGAGCTGGGATATGGAATGGATGGGGACCTCATGACTCTTTCTATTGCCCTATCTTACTGTTGCTGAGCTGGTATCCAAGATGCAAGACAAATTCCTCTTTACTCTTCACTATCATGTACTTATTCTCATTCTGTTTTTTTTTTTTTTTTTTTTTTTTTTTTTTTTTTTTTTTTTGAGATGGACTTTCGACCTTGCTGCCCAGCTGGAGTGCAGTGGCATGATCTCGGCTCACTGCAACCTCCACCTATTGAGTTCAAGCAATTCTCCTGCCTCAGCCTCCTGAGTAGCTGGGACTACAGACGCACACCACTGCACCTGGCTATTTTTTGTATTTTTGGTAAAGATGGGGTTTCACCATGTTGGCCAGGCTGGTCTCGAACTCCTGACCTCAAGTAATCCACCCACCTTGGCTTCCCAAAGTGCTGGGATTACAGGCATGAGCCACCATGCCCAGTCTCTCATCTTCTTACGCAAAAGGAAGGAGTCACTTTTATTGCTGCAAGATTCACTGCCTAAGATTGGAAAAGGGATGGTGCAAGCATTCTTACAGCTGTGCCAGCTGGTGTCTCCCTAGGTCATGTGCCATCCTACTACACTGGCTTTAAGCCAAGCCTAGCATTAGGAGTTGCCTAGGTACCACAGTCCTTGTGTGTTAGACTGCTTTTCAAGTTTACCTAGGAGCCCAGAGCCTACGGTGGCAAGGCTCGCCAAGAAACTCAAGTTCTGACTGCTGGCACAAGCGGTTCCACTCTGGCTAGAGCTGGTCCAAATACTCCCTCCATGCATGAGTGCCAGCTGAGCCCAGCATGGCTTTATTCTTCACTGTGACAGTGCAGCTCTGAGTTCAATAAAGTCCCCCAGTCACGGTCCTCTCCCTCCCCAAAATGTGAAGTTTCTTTCTCAGGGCTACTTGGCTGCTACTGGGGGATGAGAGAAGTGTGGCGTCAGTGATTCAAACCTGTCTCTCCTACCCTCCTTAATGCCTCTTTTAGCAATATGAAGTTCAAAATAGTTACTGTGTTTGTTCACCTAATTTTTGGTTCTTGTGACAATGTTTTCTAAATGCAGATAGTGGTTAAAACTTGGTGTTCCATCAGGGGGACAAATGGTGTAGGCTTCTCTTTTGCCATCTTGCTCTACACCTTGGTTTTCACTTTTGAGTACCATTTCCCTGAGCCATTTGGCCGGGTAAACCGTGACCTCCCCTATGGCTTTACCATTGGTAAAGACGCTAACTTGATTATCTTCTGCCACTCTTCTTTCCCAACCTTCCAGTTGTTTCAAACCCAGAAATATTGATATTATTGACATCTTAAATATCATAAATGGCATAGTGTGTCATAATTGCTCTCAGATTTTTTCTTATTCAAATTCTTATTCACTCCCACAGTGCCATTGTTCCAATGGGTCTTTTTTTTTTATGTTAGGATCACATAAATCTACCTTTTTTTAAAATTTTTTTTTAGAGACGGAGTCTTACACTGTTGCCCAGGCTGGAGTGCAGTGGCACAATCTCGGCTCACTGCAAGCTCCGCCTCCCGGGTTCACGCCATTCTCCTGCCTCAGCCTCCCGAGTAGCTGGGACTACAGGCGCCTGCCACCATGCCCGGCTAATTTTTTGTATTTTTAGTAGAGACGGAGTTTCACCGTGTTAGCCAGGATGGTCTTGATCTGACCTCGTGATCCGCCCGCCTCGGCATCCCAAAGTGCTGGGATTACAGGCATGAGCTACCGCGCCCGGCCACATAAATCTACCTTTAAAATCATATGAAAACTCCAGAAAGGATGATGTAGAAATCAATTTCCTAATTAAAATTTGTAGCTGAATGAGATCTTCCATGGCCTGGTTCCATGACTATATATGTATTTATTACACACCATTTTCCCTTCTCCATTTTCATTCTCCGTACAGCAGCTGTATTACTCTGTTTTCATGCTGCTGATAAAAACGTACCTGAGACTGGGCAATTTAGAAACCAAAAAAGGTTTAATGGACTCACAGTTCCATGTAGCTGAGGAGGCCTCACAATCATGGCAAAAGGCGAAAGGGAGGTCTTAGCAGCAGACAAGAGAGAATGAGAATCAAGTGAAAAGGGACACTTCTTAAAAAACCATCAGATCTCGTGAGACTTATTCACTACTACGAGAACAGTATGGGGTGAACTGCCTCGATGATTCAATTGTCTCCCACTGGATCCCTCCCACAACATGTAGGAATTATGGGAGCTACAATTCAAGATGAGATGAGATTTGGGTGGGAACACAGCCAAAGCATATCAGCAGCCAAACCGTATCAGCAGCCAAATGAATGTTTAATGCAAATTTGATCATCTGACACCCTGGCTGAAAGGCACTTCCAGTTTTCCGTTGCGCCTGAGATAAAGACTGAAAACAACTCTGATTACAAAATGCTAAATGAACTGGTCACAGAGAATCTCTGTAGGATCACCCAGTGCAATCTACCCACTTGTTTCTGTGGTCCATTTATACTCATCTTCTCTCAATTTTCCAACTTCCCTGTGCAACTTTTACCACAGAAATTCTGCTTCTGTGGTTCTTCTCCCAAGAAAAATTCTGTATTTCCTACCCCATATACCCTACTCCTATGTCACCTCTTTAACAATAAATTTCAATAAATATATTACTTCTCTAGGTTTATGATGAGCCATGGCACACTGTGGCCTTCCTGTTTTGTTTTGTTTTTTTTTTTTTGTGGTGTGTTTGTACATATTCAAACATTTCTGCTTCGCAGTTAAATAATGTGTAGATATGCTATGATATTGATATATTATATATATATATATGCATTTATAGAGTGGGCATATATATAACATCATTGCTATTTGTTTTTCTTATTCATTTATTTATTTTGTCATCCCCAGGAAACTGTAAGCTTCATGAGAACAGGGAACATACATTAGTTAAGTTAGATTTTCTCAGCATTTTATTGCAAGTACCAAACAGAATGTCTAAAGCTATGAGTTCCTGTTGCATCTGGAATAAGAGAATAAATTGCCTTACCTATTTTACATTCTTTATTACTCTAAAGATAATTTTGTGTGTATGTGTCTGCATACACGGAAGAGTTTTGATGATTTAGACAACCTGCAAATGCTTAAAAAATTAATGAGGGAATAAAATAGATGCCAGATGTTTCTTCCATTTGGCCACTGTTTGGATCCTGAAAAAAAAATTAGTATAAGCTTTTGTGTTTTCTTACTCTATAGTTTTACTTTTAACTTTTCTTCAAGAAACTATTCCAAAAAGAGCATGATAAATCTAAAGACATCCAGTCCCATGGGGGAAGAAAACAATATTAAATTGAATTAAAAGTTAATGAAATATTTTACTACTGCATTTTACCACAGCATTTGCAAGTTGTATCTGAGCATCCTAATAATTTTAAAACCACTATCCTCATCTCAATCGTGAAAGGCTGGGAAAAAGTTCTCATTTTATGATCCAGAAAGTCACTATGCAAAAGAAGAGAAATTAAGTTATAAAAAGAAGATACTGTATAACTTGCCTAATGGCCTGTAATCTGCTAAAAGTACAGCTGCAGTAGGCTGTTTAACAGGTGCTATGATTATGGAGCATAGCAAACATGTTAGGCTTTGTAGTGCATTTAATACCTTATAAACAATTGGACTAATTTGGACAAGGCTAACAGATTAGTTCAAATGACACTCTTGTAAAAGGTCTGTGATTATGTTGCACAAATTTGACTGAAATTTTAAACTTAGCAAGGTACTCAGCTTTAAAATGACTAGAATACTATTTTTTAATATTCCAGCACTGATTTCTAATGTTATTCCCTTCATATATAACACCGTACTTTTAAAAGGCAATAATCATTTTGAAGGTATTCTCACAGTTTCCAACATTACAAAACCATGTATTAGAATGTTCCAATAGTTCTACCACAATAGCCCATGTACTTTTTGAAAATGGGCATAAATCCCTGCCGTGAAACCATCAGAGCAAATGATTTGGGGTTTTGCTGCCAAGCAATTAACCATACATGTGTTATTTAAGCACCTCTGAGTAAAGCGATACGATTTTATATGTAGATTGAAAGCCAATCACTTAATAATTGAAGGAAGCTTATCTGTAATGACTGACTTAATGGCAGAACATGTGAACCAAAGGAAGGTATAGCTTGCTTAATGTCAAAAAGAGAAAAAAAGAAAAAAGAAGAAATAAAAGTAACATATATAACAAAACCAAGGTACATTTTAAAAATTCACTAAACTTTAAGAATAAAGAACGGATACAAAGGTCATGTAGGAAAAACAAGAAAAATAATGTCTTCCGGCATGGGCAATAATACAGGAGCCACTCTATTGATAATTTCAAGAGAGGTATTAGCTTGATCAGTCTCCACTCAGAAGGTAGCACCTGTCCACAGGAACACATTTAAGAATTACTAGGCTGGGCGCGGTGGCTCAGGCCTGTAATCCCAGCACTTTAGGAGGCCAAGGCAGGCGGATCACGAAGTCAGGAGATCAAGACCATCCTGGCTAACACGGTGAAACCCCGTCTCTACTAAAAATACAAAAAGTAGCCGGGTGTGGTGGCGGGCACCTGCAGTCCCAGCTACTCGGGAGGCTGAGGCAAGAGAATGGTGTGAACCCAGGAGGCAGAGCTTGCAGTGAGCCGAGATCACGCCACTGCACTCCATCCTGGGTGACAGAGCGAGACTCCATCTCAAAAAAAAAAAAAAAAGTGCATTTCTCAGATGATAAGTGATGTTAAGCATCTTTTAATATGTTTGCTGGCCACTTGTATGTCTTCCTTTGTAAAATGTCTGTTCATGTCCTTTGCCCACTTTTTAATGAAGTTTTTGTTTTTTTTGTTGTTGAGTAGTTTGAGTTCCCAGTAAATTCTGGATATTAACACTCTGTTGGAGGTACCGTTTGCAAATATGTTCTCACATGTGTAGGCTGTCTGTTTACTTTGTTGACTATTTCTTTTGCATGCTTAGTTTATTTAAATCCCAATTGTTTATTTTTGTTTTCGTTGTGTGTCCTTCTGAGAACTTATTCATAAATTGTTTGCCTAGAGAAATGGCCATAGTTTTTCCTAGGTTTTCTACTAGAAATTTTATCTTTAAACTTTAATTCATCTTGAGTTAGTTTGTATATGGTGTAAGATAGGAGTCCAGCTTCATTCCTCAGCATGTGAGTATCCGTTTTTTCCACCACCATTTATTTTATAGCATGTTCTTTTACTAGTGCGTATTTTCATGGACTTTGTCAAAAATCATATGGTTGTAGATATGTCTTTATTTCTAGTTCTCTATTCTGTTCCATTAATTGATGTGTCTATTTTTATACCAGTACTGTGCTGTTTTGGTTACTATAACCTTATAATATTATTTGAAGTCAGGTAATGTGATGCCTAGAGCTTTTTTCATTTTGCTTGAGATTACTTTGACTATTTGGGCTTTTTTTCTTTGCAGATGAATTTTTTGGATTGTTTTACATAATTCTCTGGAGAATGACCTTGGTACTTTGACAGGAATTGCATTGAACCTGTAGGTTGCTTTGGCAGTACAATTTAATGATACTGATTCTTCTGATCCATGAGCATTACATACTTTTTCCATTAATTTGTGTCATATATGATTTATTTAATCAATGTTTTGTAGTTCTCCTTGTAGAGATCTGTCATTTTCTTGGTTAAATATATTCCTAGGTATAATTTTTAGCAAATTTTAAATGGGATTGAGTTCTTGTTTTGGTTCTCAGCTTGACTGGTATTGGTGTATAGAAATGCTACTGATTTTTGTATGTTGATTTTATATCCTGAAAATTTACTGAAGTAATTTATCAAATCTAAAAGTCTTTTGCAGAAGTCTTTAGAGTTTACTAGGTATAAGAGTATATCAACAGCGGACAGAGATAATTTGACTTTCTCTTTTCCAATTTAAATGTTTTTCATCTTTTCCTTTTGCTTGATTGCCATAGCTAGAACTTCCAGTACTATGTTGAATAGCAGTGGTGAAAGTAGGTATCCTTGTCTTGTTCCATTTCTTAGGGGAAGTGCTTTTCCCCATTCTGTTTAATGTTGCCTGTGGGTTTGTTATACATGGCTTTTATTATTTTAAGTATGTTCTTTCTATTCCTAGTTTGGCAAGGGTTTTTGTCATGAAAAAAATGACAAATTTTATTAAATGTTTTTTTCTCAATCTTTTGAGATGATTCTGTGGTTTTTGTTTTTAATTCTTTTATATGGTAAATCACTGATATGGTTTGAATCCTGTGTCCCCACCCAAATCTCATGTTGAAATGTAATCCCCAATCCCCAACAGGAGGTTGGGAGGTGATTGGATCACGAGGGTAGTTTCTCATAAATCATTTAGCACCATCTTCTTTGGTCACCATAGTAAGTGAGTTATCATGAGATCTGGTCATTTAAAAGTGTGTAGCACCTTCTCTCTCTATTTAAAATTTGCTAAAAATTATACCTAGGAATATATTTAACCAAGAAAATGACAGATCTCTACAAAGAGAACTACAAAACATTGATTAAATAAATCATATATGACACAAACTAGTGGAAAAAGTATCTCATGATCATGGATCAGAAGAATCAGTATCTTTAAATTGTACTGCCCAAAGCGATCCACAGGTTCGATGCAATTCCTATCAAACTACCAAGGTGATTCTTCAGAGAATTATGTAAAACAATCCTAAATGGGGTTTCACCATGTTAGCCAGGATGGTCTCAATCTCCTGACCTCATGATCCGCCCACCTTGGCCTCCCAAAGTGCTGGTATTACTGGCATAGCCACCACACCTGGCCGCCACACTCTTAAACAACTAAATCTCACAAGAACGCACTATCATGAGAACAGTACCAAGTGGGTGGTGCTAAACCATTTATGAGAACCCACCCCTATGATCAAATCACCTCCCACCAGGCCCCTGCTCTGACACTGAGGATTACAATTCTACATGAGATTTGGTGGGGGCACTGATCCAAACCATATCAGGCGGGTTTTTTTGTATGCAGCTTATGTTTAAAAAGTTTTTATATTTTTATCCATTCTGCCAACTGACATATTTTAAGTGGAGCATATAGCCCTTTACCTTTAAAGTTAATATTGATATGAGAGGTTTTCTTCTTGCCATAATGTTATTACATATTTGCTTTGCAGTCTCAATTGTGTAATTACTTTATGTGACCTGCACGTTTTTATGATGACAAGTATACCCCTTCCATTTCCATTTTTAACTCGTTTGAGCATTTCTTTTAGGACTGATCTAGTGGTGACAAATTCCCTTGGTGTTTTCTTGACTCGGAGCAACTTTATTTTTCCTTCATTTAGGAAACTTAGTTTAGCAAGATACAAAATTCTTGGCTTGCACTTTTTCTTCTTTAAAAAGACTGTAAATGGGACCCTAATGTCTTCTCATTTGTAATGTTTCTGCTGATATGTCTGCTGTTAGTCTGATGGTATTTCCTTCATAGGTGATTAGATGTTTCTCTCTTGCCCATTTTAGAATTTTTTTCTATCTTGTTGACTTTGTATAGTCTGACGACTATATTCCTTGATGAGTTCCTTCTTGCAATGTATCTCCCAAGAATTCTTTAAATATATTGTATCTGGATGTCTAGAACTTTAACAAGACCAGAAAAGTTTTTCTCAATTATTCCCTAGAATATATTTTCCATATGTTTTATTTTACAATTTTTCTGTTATCTCTGGAATAGTTACTACTTATAGTTTTGAAGGCTTTACATAATCCAATATTTATCAAAAGCTTTTTTTAAAATCTCTTTTGAATTTTTGTTCAAATAGGTTAATTTGAAAGACCTGCCATCTAGTTCTAAAATCTTTTATTTTGCTTATACTAGCCTATTGTTAAAGCTTACAGCTATATTTTGTAATTCTGTCAACACATCTTTTTTTCAGAAGTTTTATAAAACCATATATGTCTCTTCTTTCATATTCTGAATTGTTTTATGATTTATTTGTATTGGCTTTCAATTTTCTTTTGGGTCTCATTAAATTTCTTTAAAATAAACATTTTGAATTCTTTATTTGGTATTTCAAAGATTTCATTTTAATTAGGATCCATTGCTGGGCAGTTAGTGTTTTAACACTCTGTGTTTTCATTCTTCCAGGATTATCTCTCTGGTTCCTTCTTATCTGATTAGCTATCTCCTCTTCTCATTTTTGGATTTGCTTTCATTTGAGTAAGATTTTCCCCCTTGAGGGTGTGGCTATAATATGCATTGTGTAGAGTTCTTTGGCTTTGGTTCCAGGTGCTTTAGTGGCAAAGACTATGTAAGTTTCTTGGTTATAGATATCTTTTGTATGGTGACTTTCTTAAATGCTAGTTGTAGTAGCAATTTGCTGGACATGTGAGTGTGCTCACTGCCTCCTGTGGAGTCAGAATGGGGAGGTCTCAGGAAGCTTATCTCATTCCCTAGTGCTGTGCACTGGTGTCAGATTTTTTGTTTGGTTGTGCAGCTTGATGTCTACACCAGTAGGTGGCAATATGGGTTGGATCTGGCTGCAGTCAACACACATCTCCCTATGCATGATCTTTGTTAACCTTGAGAAGCTCACTGTTGCCTCAGCCAATGGTGTGTCCTGTGAAATGGATAGTAGTCTCAGTTCCCAGCTTAGCCCTGGAGTGGGGAACCAAGCTGAATGGGGCTATGCCAAGCAGGCTCGCCTACATGTCACCCAATGGCAGGTGCAAACACCAGCTCCAAGGGGTGGGTATCTGATGGGCAGCTGCCAAGTGCCCAGACAAGTGCCAAGGTGTAGAGTGGAGATAACTCCACTGTCCCAAGTTGGCTCTCCAGGAAGGGAGGGGCAGCCTGAATTCATAATCTAGAAGAGTGAGTGTTCCAAATGCCCGGATATATGTCTGGGCATGGAGCAGAGGGGGTTCCAATGTATCCAGATCTCCACATGAAAAGGGAGAGTCAGCCCAGGCTTTTCCTCCAGGCAAGTGAGTACATTAAATGCTTGGAAGTACGCCTGGGTGTGGAGCAGAGATGGTACTGCAGCACCAAAATCTATGCACAGAAAGGGAGGAGAGGCTCAGATTCTAATCCAAGCAAGCAGCTGTGCTGAATGCCTGGAATTATGCCTGAGTGTGGATGGAAGAGGGCGCCACTGTACCAAGATTTCCGACCTGGAGAGAGGGATGACACAGGCTTCTAATCCAGTCAAGATAGTGGACTGAATGGTTGGAATTATGCCGGGGCATAGAGCAGACAGGGTGCCACTGCACTAAGATCTCTTCGCAGGAAGGAAAGGGCAATTCAGTCACCTAATCCAGGTGAGCAGGTATGCCAGTTGCCTGGAAATATGTCACCCGGCAAGAAGTAGAGTAGCTGCTGCAGAGCAGAGGAACTGCTGCTACAACTAGGTCTTTGCAGGGGAAGGGAAGGGCAGCTCAGGCCCCTATTTCAGGGAAGCAAGTGCTCTGAATGCCTGGAAATGTGCCCAGGCATCGAGCAGCGGGGGTGACACTAGATTAAGTTATTTGCAAGGGAATAAAGATGTGGCTCACGCTCCCATCTAAGTGAGCACAAATGGGATCCACCTCCCTCCCACTCCTCAGTATTGGTGGTGAACAGTCTTCTGACTAACTAGGATAACAGGCTGGGGCATCCAGTAATGACATATGCAGATGGTCCCTATGCCACAAAGCTGTTTCTCCTGGCCACAAATCACCCTGCCCAAGATAAACCATGGCTTCAGCAACTGTCCTCCCACTCCAGTCCAATGACAGGAGATAGCACAATTTTAGCACTTACTCTGGGGGTGCACTGCAACAGCCACTCAGTTCTGGCTGTGGGGGGCTCTTCCCCCACTACAGAACAAGCACTCCAATTTCTGGGCAGAGATTAAAATATCTACGGTGGCCACTACAGCTGGGTTGTCAAACACTGACTGACTTTGTCATGAGCCTGAATTGAAAATGGCATCCTTCCTTCAGTCCCACATCTGTGAAAAATGCCTGCAGATTTTCTTGGAGTGTTTTCCCTCCATTGTCTCCTGGCTTCTCCCCAGGTTCGCTCCAGGTCTTGGGAGAAACAAGGTGCTCACTAATAATTTGGTTTTCAAAGAATATATAATAAAATGAAAATATTAAGTTTAAAAGGCCAATAACACATATAATACTACATGTAAAGTGTAATTTTTACTTGCTTACATAATATATATATTTGTATATATGTATATGTATATACCTTTATATTATATATGCATGTAATAATTACATTAGAGAAATAAACAGTTTACACACTCTTTTAAAATATATATAGATTTTGGCTTTGTACTTTTCCATATCTTCCAAATTTTACTTATATGACTTTTACAATTAAAAAAACACATTTTATAAATTTGAACAAAGAGAAGATCATGAGAAACAACAGGGAAAAACAAGTCTCTCAGTGTTTTTGGATATATTTATATATGTCAAATTCCAAGCAAAGTGACATGAAAGGTGTATATTTAATGTCTTCTACACCACATTTTTCATCAACATTTTAAACAATATTTCCCATGAAAATACTTCTCAAGTCATGTAATGAAAGCCCTTCAAAAATTTCACTGGGAATAAAACAAGTGCATATATATTTCAGAAATATGAAAACTTGGAACAAGCAGACATTTTACCAGAAGGCAGAGGATAGGTGGTACATTCAGTTTGTGACCACAGAGTTAGGGTCACATTTGGCAAGGAAGTGAAATAAATGCTACTAGATATCAGAAGCTGACAGGGGAGGTGTTATAAATCCACAGCAGAGTAGCAGAGAGAAGGAAAATTAAGACAGCAATGGCAACAACCAATTTAATGGGAGATGAAAAAATAGAGAACGACTAGATGCATCTGATTTTTTTCTAGAAATTACATTTTTATGACAATGTGATGCCCTTTTCGAAGAAACATCTTATGGCTTTCATTTTTTTTTACCCAGAGAATTCTTACACAAGGTAAACATGATGCCGATAGAGGCATAGTGTCAATGTGTCTAATGCTACCAAGTCTTAGAATTAGGTGAAAGAGCATGACTCTCATTGTGTCTCATGTCTGGCCTTCATTCACCAGTTTTATAGTTGATTTTCTTGTTTGTTTGTTTTTCTGCTATATAGACAGAACAGGACTTAATGGGTTGTTCATCGCTTTTGGTTTTTAAAACCCACAATTTCAATTAGTCATGACAAAAACATCCCTGCTGATCACATCACTCTCATTACTTACCTTACCCTTAATGACAACTTTCCTTTGCAGTTGACATGTTGCTACCTGGCTTTTGTCACACTAGAGTGTCAACACTACCAAGAAAATCAATAATTTCACTTCAAAGGCAGCATATTCCACTGTCATTCTCAAATTGCAGAGAGAAAAACACTATAGCATTTTTCAAATATGCTGAATCTCTCTTCAAAAGATTTTTTTTTCCAAAATACCTTGGATAAATAAACCATGTTCTATGTCTTCTTCTGGAATGCATTTAGATAGTAACTGAGCAGGTCTAAAGAACCTGTTTAATTTTACACCATTGTCATAAATATTTAGATTATTTTGCTATATCAAACTGAAGGATTTCTGAGATCTTAACTTCATTTACCATAGGCATTACTGAATGAAGGTTATAGGCACACTAATCAAAACATAAATCTAAAAAAAACCCAGTTACACCATTTATAGCTGCTTGAACTAGCATATTGACTGAAAAAAAAATCTCTCTTCAGTTCATTTATATCAATATATTTAGTATAATTTAAAATTACCTCCCTGTATTTATCTAACACAAACTGTATAGGGTTTCATAGACATTTCTCAGAGTCTTACTGCTTTAAATTAGCAGTGTTGAATTTCTTTATTTTATGATCTTTGTTTTTGAAGTTATTGATGCAGTGGAGCTGTGGAAATCTGGCGCTAAGCATTGATCTAGAGGCTCTGGAGGAGGAAAGAAGAGAGTCATCAGGAGAAATGGCATTCCTTTTGAATGGGAACCCTTCAGGAGTGTATTTTTCTTTTTCTTTTTCCTTTCCCTTGACCCTCATACAATGACAACTGCCCTTGAGTATAAATATAAACTAAGGTGGAAATGAAGTGGAGGTAATTCAAATTGATAAGATCAGGGCTCTTCACATCTATTCAAGATATTTTTATAGTTGTGGTCCTGGAAACTCCATAGTGGAATTGTGAAAATGACCTTCTCTGATATTTTTAATTAAATTGCTTCATAGAGGTATGATTAACATTTAAAAGCGTACATATTTAATGTATATAACTTGATTAGTTTGCAGATAATA
Source organism: Homo sapiens (assembly GCF_000001405.40). Lineage (NCBI taxonomy): Eukaryota > Metazoa > Chordata > Mammalia > Primates > Hominidae > Homo > Homo sapiens. The sequence goes on along the minus strand of NC_000002.12, from coordinate 193,581,018 downwards.
TATACCCATGAAACCATCACAATCAATGCCATAAACATATCCATTGCCTGCAAAAGTTACTCTTTTTTTGTGATAAGAACATAGCATCAGATCTGTCCTCTCAGAAATTTTTAGGTATAGAATTCAGGATTGTAAACTATAGGCACTATGCAGTACATTAGAGCTTTAGAATCTGTTCGTCTTGCATAACCGAAACTATGTAGCATTTGACCAGTACTTTCCATTCTGACACTCCCCCGCTATCCCCTGGCAACCACCATTCCACTCTGTTTCTGAGTTTCACTACTTTAGATTCGTCATATAAGTGGGATAATGTGGTATTTGTCCTTCTGTGTCTGGCTCATTTCACTTAGCATAATGTCCTCTAGAATGCTCCATGTTGTTGCATGTGGCAACATTTTTTTTCTTTCTTTTTCTTTTTGGAGACGGAGTCTCACTCTGTCACCCAGGCTGAAGTGCAGTGGCAGCATCTCGTCTCACTGCAACTTCCGCCTCCCGGGTTCAAGCAATTCTCCTGCCTCAGCCTCCCGAGCAGCTGGGACTACAGGCGCACGCTGTCACGCCCGGCTAATTTTTTGTATTTTAGTAGAGACGGTGTTTCACCGTGTTGCCCAGGCTGATCTCGAGCTCCTGAGTTCAGCAATCCGTCTGCCTAGGCTTCCCAAAGTTCCGGGATTATAGGCGTGAGCCACCGTGCCCGACTGGCAACATTTTTTAAAGGTGAATAATACTCCATTTTCTGTATATAGCACATTTTCTTTATCCATTTATCATTTGATGGACTCTTAGGTTGCCCCCACATCTTGGCTATTGTAAATAATGCTGCAATGGACATGGGAGTGCAGATATCTCTTTGAGATTCTGATTTAAATTTCACAGTGACCAAAGAGTTAGGGTCACATTTGGCAAGCAAGAGAAATAAATACCCTTTATTGGAAAAATCATTTGCAAATATTTCTTCCAATTTTTAGATTGTTTTTTTCATTTTGTTGATTGTTTCCTTTGCGCTGCAGAAACCATTTAGTTTTATGTAATCCCACTTGTATCTTTTTACTTATGTTGCTTGTGCTTTTGGTGTCATATTCATGAAATCATAGCCAAAGCCAAGGCCAAGGTCTTCCCCTATGTTTTATTTTAGGAGTTTTATGGTTTCAGATCTGATATTTAAATATGTAGTCTGTTCTGAGTTTATTTTTGTGTGTGGTTTAAAATAAAGGTTCAAATGTATTTTTCACTTCTTTGTCTATTTCCAGTTTTCCCACCATGATTTTTTGAAAAGACTATTCTTTCCCCATTGTGTATTCTTCGCACCCGTGTCAAAAATCAGTTGACGGACTATGTGTGGATTTATTTCTAGATTCTCTATTTTGTTCCATTGATCTATATGTCTGATTTTATGCCATTTGTAATATATTCCGCAATTAGAAACTAAGATGCCTCCAGGATTTTTCTTGCTCAAAATTCCTTTGGCTCTCTAGCAACGTTTGTGTTTCCATATAAACTTTAAGACACATGTATATGTATACATATTTTTTTAATATATTAAATTAAAATATCAAATATACAAATACATTTAATATCATATATTCAATAATAAATATGTATATATTTCATATATATATATATCTGTGGGAAAATGTCATTGGTATTTTGATAGGGATTGCAATGAATCTGTAGATTGCTTTCGGTATTAAAGGCACTGTCACAATTTTAATTTTTCTTTTTTCTTTTTATTTTCTCTTTTCTTTCTTTCTTTTTTTTTTTTTTTTGAGACGGAGTTTCTTTCTTGTTGCCCAGGCTGGAGTGCAATGGCGCAATCTCGGCTCACCGCAACCTCTGCCTTACAGGTTCAAGCAATTCTCCTGCCTCAGCCTCCCGAGTAGCTGAGATTACAGGCATCCACCACTACGCCCGGCTAATTTTGTATTTTTAGTAGAGACGGGGTTTCTCCATGTTGAGGCTAGTCTCAAACTCCTGACCTCAGGTGATCCACCCGCCTCAGCCTCCCAAAGTGCTGGGATTACAGGCGTGAGCCACCGCGCCCGGCCCCCACAATTTTAATTTTTCTAACCAATGAACACAAGATATCTTTTCATTTACATGTGTCTGCTTTAAACTCTTTCTTTGTTTTATGGTATTCAGTGTACAAGCCTTTCTCCCCATTGGTTAACTTTATTCCTGAGTATTTTCTTCTTTTTGATGCTATTGTAAATGGGATTATTGTCTTGATTTCTTTTCCAGACAGTTTCTTGTTAGTGTATAGAAATACAACTGATTGTGTAGCCTACATTTTACTAAATTCATTAGTTTTAACAATGTGAGGTGGCACTTTAGGGTTTTCTACATGTAATATTATGTCATTTATGAATATAGATAATTTTACATCTCCCTTTGTAATTTGAATGCCTTTTATTTCTTTTTCTTGCCTAATTTCTTTGGCTAGGACTTTTAGTGCCATGTTAAATAGAAGTAGCAAGCATAAACAACCTTGCCTAATTCCAGGTCTTACAGAAAAAGTTTTTAATTTTTCACCATTGCCTATAATGTGAACTGTGGGCATTTCATATATGACCTTTATTGTGTTGTAAGTTTTTTCTATACCTAATTTATTGAAAGTTTTTAATCACAACATTGTCTTAAATTTTTTCTAACATTTTTTCTCTCTGTTGAGACGATTGTGTGATTTTAATCCTTCTTTCTGTTAATGTAGTGTAGTTATTAATTGATTTGTGTATATTAAACAGCCCTTGCGTTGGAGGGGTAAATCCTACTTGGCCATGATGTATGGTCTTTTTATTGTGCTATTGGATTCAGTTTGCTAATATTTTGTTGAGGATTTTTGCATCTATATTCATCAGGAGTATTTGCCTGTACTTTTATTTTGTTGTGTCGTCTTTGCTTTGTGTTGTTATTAGGGTGATGCTTGCCTAATAAAATGAGTTTGGATATATTCCATCTTCTTCTATTTGAGGGAAGAGTATACAAAGGTTTGGCATTAATTATACTTTCAGTATTTTTTAGAATTCACCTGTGAAGTCATCTTGCCCTGGGCTATTCTTTTTTGAGAGGTTTTGAATTACTGACTTTTTTTTTTATTATTATTCGTCTGTTCAGGCTTTCTATTTCTTCTTGATTCACGCTTGACAGGTTTTATGGTTCTAGGAATTTGTTCATTTATTCTAGGTTGTCCCATTTGCTAATAAGTAATTTTCATGGTAGTTTCTTATCTTTTTATTCCTGTGGCATCTTTATTATGACTACTCTTATGTTTCTGCTTTTATTTCAGCCTTCTCTCTTTTTTTTTCTCCCACTGGTTAAGGGGTTTTCAATCACATCTTTCAGAGAACCAACTCTTTGTTTTACTGGGGTTTTTTCCTATTGTTTTTGTATTCTCCATTTTGTTTATTTCTGTTCTGGTCTTTATTATTTCCTTCCTTTTGTTAATTTTGCTTGTAACTTGTTCTTTTTTTAGTTTCTTATAGTTGTTTATTTCAGATCTTTCTTAAATGTAGACATTTATTACTATAAACTTCCCTCTTAGTACTGTTTTTGCTGAAGCTCTTCTGTGCTTTTATAAAAGGAAGAAACACCCTCAATATATCAAGAGGTGAAAAAATGTACTACTTCTGCTGGCAAGGAAGTTTTAGTGGGATTAAGTTCTCATTACTTAGAGTCACCCAAATTCTCTCAAGGTTTCCACATTCTTCTAAAGAAAGTTATATATTTCTCTTGGCAAGGATGTAAATTTTAAACCCAATTTTCATTAATCAGAGCTGCTGCAATATATATATATGGCACTTAAAAAAATAAAAGAAGCTTCTTGATTCTCTGACAAAGCCTTGCATTGGTCTTTTCAAATCTTTAAATTTTCATTTTATCATCTTTCCTAATTAGAAGGAATCAGCCCTTTCCATAGTCTTGAATTTCCTATGGCCCTTAAACTGTCAAATAATAGTATCCTGTATGTCTAGAGAAGGTTTACAACTTTCCACCCATCTTCTTTGGCGACATAAAAAAAAAAAAAAATCTTTACCAAATCTTCTCAACTTCTAACTAGAATTGCACAGTCCTCAAGCCCATTCAAGTCAGAAACCATCACTTCTTTATTTGTATCGTACTAGGCCTCTAATGTCTTCATTGCTCCCTGCTATCTTAGCTGGACAACATAGAATACATTCTTGCTAGTTTAAGAAAATAATAATTTACTAAAATATATAGACAAGAGAATAAGACTTGGATTATGTGTGGCAGAAAATGGCCAGAAGAAACACTGGTGCCATTGTTATAAAACTTGTTTTGCAACCACCTGGAAGTAGTCACCTCTGATAAGTCATTATGGTATATAAGTCATTATTAACTTTATTTCACTGACAGCTAAATGAATGGAAATTTTTTTCTTATTTCAGGACACAGAGATCCATTTAAAACATTCATTTTGAAATATAATGTACTGTATAATTCTGTATAAAATATCTATCAGAGGTTTCAGAAGAGAAAGAGCCAAAAGACCAAAACTTCTTCACCAACCCGTTTGATCATATTTCTTTCTTCTGCCTGCAAGTTTTATGTGAGTACATCTACCTGAAGAATCTTAGCTTCAAAGGAGTTGAGAAAGTGTTATTTTGTTTATTTGTTTGTTTCTAATTTTATAGCCTCTTGAATGTATAAAAGAAAACTAGGAGGTTAGAATGAAGACTTAAAGAATATTAAATATCCCCAGGTTTCTCACTTTAGATACGGCTGTGACTTATAAGCCTCCTTGTATGACTTGAATGCAAATAATCTGTCTTGGGGATAAAATATATGATGAGGAAGTATATGATTAATGACCTAACATTTCAGTTTATCAGATAAAGCACTTTTCCCCTCAGTTTGCCTCCAGATAGTATTTGGTATTCATTTTCTAACACAGTTGGAACTAAATTATACCAAAATTCAAAAATGTACAAATCTAAAATAGTATGAAAAATGTATGATCAATTGTGCAGCCCAAGAAAACTCTTGAAAAGATAAACTAATTCTGAAATGAATGATGCATTTTATACATAATTATACAGTGCATTTTATTTCAAAATAAATGTTTAAAACAGTTCCCTATGTCCTAAAATAAGAAAAAAAATCACCCATTCATTCAGCTGTCAGCAAAATAGAGTTAATAATGACATATATCAGAATTACATACATTGTTTAGGGCAATGATTTCCTGGCAGGAAATTAATAATGAGCTAATTTAAGAAAGTATTGCAAATGATTTAAAGACTTTGTCAGCATTGTCTATGGTACTCTTGTCATTTTGCTTATGATTTTTTGTATTTTTGTACTAGGACACCAAATGGGATTGTTACTGACTCAATATCAGATGTCTCATGTTATGATCCCCAACATCTATGAGTTGTCAGATGACTTGGGAAGGGATGAGAAAAGAGGTGGTGAAAAATTAATTGTCAATTATTTAGGTTATCTCCTTTGAGTGTATAAAGGCAGTAGTTTTGAAAAATCAGATGGGGAGGATTTTTTTTGGAAGACATTGCTAGTACAGTGTGAGTCTGACCCTTTTCATAGCAGTCATAATAGAGGATGATGCTTCAATCTTGTTTTTAACACAGTAAGAAAAGGTTCAGAAGATCATAAAGGGATCTTGGACTGTTTTCTTTGACATCTTAGGGGAAAGGGAGCACAATGGCTGGTTCCATACTCATGGCTGAGAAGCCTGAAAGCCTGCGAAGATGATTGGCTAACCATCTGATTGACTGAGGGGAGATGGCTATCTAGGAAACAAGCTTCACTTCAGAGATTTCTGGGCAAATAATGTCAGAATATATTCCCTTTAGATCTATGTAGCAAAGAGAATTTACCTGGAGCTATTTTAAAGGGACTTTGTCTAAGACAGTTAGCTGATGAAGCACCAGAAGAGAACATCTGTGTTGGGTCTATTGTTGCAAACCAGAAATTGAGAACAAAGAGCTAAGACCCCAGATGGAGAATAGAAGTGTTAAGAAATCTACAGACGAATTATCTATGTTAAGGGAGAGTCTCCAAAAACCTCACGAATTCAACCCTAGTAGAATTGAGCTCCAAACATCTTCATTGTCTATTAAAAAAGCAGAAACATATTAATGTCAATAAAATAAATCATTTCCTGATTTATCTCCTTTCTGTTCCTCCACACTTCAACCATGGGAGAAAAAGAAAATGAGGCTGAAGTACTAGGAGTGAGCTGAGGCCTAGAAGAAAAGCAACACTGGTGTGCAGAAGAAAAGTGATCATGCTTCTTCACCCTACTACAGACTTCTGTATGAGAAGCAGCCTATGCTGAGGGAAATGAGAAGCTTGAATTTTTAATGAAGTCTGGAAATGCGACTATACATCAGACTTTTTTCTATATCACAAATAAGCAAACAAATGCACATTTTTCCATTATTTGTATAATAAAAACTCATGGTAAAATAAGTAAAATGACTAAATATATGGTAGAAATTGAGGTTAATAACTAAATATATGGTAGAAATTGAGGTTTATCAGAGTATTGGAGCTCAAAATTAAACAATCTCTTTTACTCCACGGTATTTTTATATGTGAATATTATCTTAAAAAGATTGTATTTTTGTCAATAAAGATGTTTTGGAAAGTTTTACACCAGAAATCTTGAGAAACATGAAAACATGCCTGTATTCTCTTTATGCTGTAAGGAGAATCAAGAAGAAAAACTGAATTATACTGCCAGTTATTTTAACTATAATTGTAGCAAAATTCTGTGTTTATATTAACTACTTAACAATAAATTCCCTCAGCTAAACCAAGTACCCTATTTATAAACTGCTACAACAGTATATCATTTTACTTTGAGACACATATTACAACTATAATAAAATAATTATGAAGTTACATTTAATATCTCCCTCCCTTGTGGCTCTATAAGGCTCATTTTCAAATATCATTAAAAAATAAAAAATGTATGTACTTTACAATGGTTGAAGGCATCATTGCATGTATTATCTCATTCATTCTTCATTATAAACTTGAGGGAGTTTTTTAAAAAAACTATATTTAAAGAAAACTAAAAATTACTCCATTTAACAGGTTGGCTCAGTAGTACATAGTCATTGAATCCTATGCCTATAATGGGTTTTCTAAATGTATTTCATATTCATCCTCTCCTATGTAATTTCATTGTTATAATTCTGGCTTATATATTCATATCTTGTTTACCAAATTTAGATTTACGGTAAGATCCCTGGTGCTTCTATAACCTATTTTTAAATACACCTTTACAGGGGATTTCTTTTTAAAAGTTCAGGATTTTTGCGTGTGTGTTACCATGGGTAAATGTGAAAAAGAGAGAAAGTTTACAATAACTTGATATATTTTGGTATTTTGCTATTTTTTAAGCAAAATAACCTTGTACTTCTCAGCAATTGCTTCACATACAAATGAACCTGTTTCTTTAATTGCTGCATTTTACTAAAGGATATTTCCTTTAGTGTTCTTCAACGTTCAACTGCCAAACTGCTAACCTTACACAAATTACTCCATAAGTTACATGTAAAAATACTTTATGTAGAAAATGTCCTTCCTGTTGGTCTAGTACAAGGATGAATGTCACAAGTGCAAACACAAGACAAGCAATATTTTCCTCAAAGTAAAAATGCTCACTTTTGGTCAGCTTTTGTTTCTGTTACCAATGTGGATCATTTCTGGTCTGGTGTAATCATGTTATTTGTTATGAACTGAATGCTTGTGACTTTCCCAGATTCACATTTTGATATCCTAAACCCCATGTGTTGGTATTAGGAGTTGTAGCCTTTGTGAGGTACTTAGGTCATGAGGGTGCAGCACTCATGGATGGCATTAGTATCTGTATAAAGGGGACAGCAAAAAGCACTCTAGCCCTCCTTCCCCCATGTAAGAACGTAAAGAGAAGTTGGCAGCCGACAACCTGGAAGAGGGTGCTTGCCAGAACCCAATAAGGCTGGCCATGTCCTCTGATATCAGACTTCTAGCCCCCAGAACTGAGAGGAATAAACGTCTGTTGTGTATAAGCCACCTAGTTCACCATACTTTGTTATGGCAGCCTGAACTAACTAAGATATTATTTTAGACTTAATTGAATTACTATCTACAATTCTTGCAAAATAATAAAAAGGTTGAAAATAGATTTTTTTGTATTAGGTAGAGACCTACAAAAGAAAATAAAAGCCATTACCAAACAAACTCTTGTTTTGATTGTAAGAGAGACAAAGAAAAGTGTGTCTTTCCTGCCTTGTCATAGACTGAATGTTTGTTGTCCTAAAATGCATATGTGGAAGATTTAACTTCCAGTGTGGCCATATATGAAGTTAGAGTCTAAGGGGAAAATGAAGGTTAACTGTGGTCATACAAATGGAACCCTGATCCCATAGGATTTGTGTTCTTATAAGAATAGACAACACAGGGCTTGCTCACTTTCCCTCTATGCATAAAGAAGAGGTCATGTGAACACACAGGGAGATAATATTCATGTGCCATCCATGGAGAGAGCTTTTACCAGACACCAGCCGTACTTTCCCCTTGATTTTGGACTTCTGGTCTCAAGAACTGTGAGAAAATAAATTTCTGTTTGTTTAAACCACCCATTCTGTGGTATTTTGTTATGGCAGCCCTAAAAAACCAATACGTGCCTCTTGACCTTTGAGTGTATATTTTTCAACCAATCTGACACTCACATTATTGACCCATTAACATAATGTCTGTTCCCCCCGATCTTTGCCAAGGAATGCATGTAAAATTTAAATTGTGTTAATGAGTTCAGTTCAGAGAACGTTGTACTCAATAAGAATCCAATGACAAACAGAAGACAAAGCCAGGAAACAATGCTAATTTATGACTCAGAAGTATACGTATAAGGGAAGAATTGGTTATCAGTTCCATTAATTTACATTTGTACACTACATTTCTGAAAGTAAGAGCCTAGGTTAGGATAATAATCAATTCTTAATTTGAATTAACCATACATGAATGAGTTGGAGCAGAAGGGAATGAAGATAATTTGTCCCTACCATGGGGGCAGTTAACACTTATCTAAGCTTGCTATGGTTAGAATTAATCATGTACTTATGAAAAGAAGCCATGTGGGAACCTAATTTGTCTTATTTTGAATAAAAGAAAGTGACTGTAGTGAATCCAAGTAATACTTAAGGTGCCAAAAAATTGTCCATGGGAGGAAATACACACCCTGGAATGAGAACAGAGAGCAGGCAAAGCACGCTTAATAGATTTAGGTATTTTTTCAGTGTTTTATTTATTATCATTATTATTAGTTTTTATTATCCCTTCTGTCTTGAAAGTTATATTACCTAAACTCAAAGCATCTCTTTTACTTGTTAGATAATCCAGAGCCACTGGGAATACCACCCACATTGGTTAACAAGCAGTAGTCTTTCAGCTCCAAATATTCATAGCTCTCAGCATCACAAGCTAGGGCTGCGGCTCTACAGTTACTGACAGAGAGGAATAAAACACTGCTGAAAGCAGAAGGCAAGGAGTAAGACTTACTGCTTCTGGTTGCACATTGTTCCTCCTAGTTGACCCCCTTCAATGGCCCTGCAACATAGCAACCACAGCTGATTCTGGACTTCAACCCCTTTTGACATCTCTAGAAGCAACCTGAATGCAAATCTATCAGAGATTTTAAGAGAGGGGAGGGAAACTCAGCTCCTAGGAATGTGTTCTCCTAGATTCTGGATACTATAATCCCAACCCCTTCCATTTATTCCTCTCATTCAGGGGTCAAAAATATTTTTATTAAAAGCCCATATAGTCAATATTTTAGGTTCTGAAGCAAAATCAATATTAGCATGTAGAAGCTTATATAAAAGTTAATCAATGTTTACATTCTTCTTAGTTTGTCCTAAAAAAGAGGTGACTGACTGGATTTGGCCCTCAGATCATAATTTGGTGATCCTTGCCCTGGTCCTCAGGGTGTAGCTGTTACCTTCATTTGCTATTAGTATGCTACCTTAATTTTTATTATATTTCCCTTTTTCCTTTCCTTTCTTTCTGACTGATAAACGTAATATTGATGAACATGCTTTAATTTTATCACCCATCTGCTCAAAAACACCTGGGATCCTGAGAAACGGAAAGGCATAAGAAGGAAGAAATATGGAATTCCATTGTGAAAAGTTAAATGAGGAAATCACTTACTTTAATGAAAATAACTACTGTATAGAACTTGGCAAATAGAAATGTTTTATATTTTACTTATAGAGAAAAAAATCAGAAAGGTCATATATTGTTTCCTTTGACATCCATTATTTCTACATACTTTAGAAAGAAAACCTAGATGAGATGAGATTTTCATGCTATAGTCTTAGGTTGCTGAGAGTTGCCTTCTGAAAGAAAATTACAGAGGAAAATGGTATAAATAATCAATAGACACACTGTATAAGTTTGAGACTACATTAAGATTAATGGAGAGCAAGAATGGCCACTATCTAGACTAATAAAAAAGAAAAGAGAAGATACAAATAAACACAATTAGAAACAAAAAGGAAAATTTTTCCACTGACCCCACAGAAATACAAATAACCATCAGAGACTACTATGAACACCTCTATGCACACAAACTAGAAAACCTAGAAGAGATGGATAAATTTCTGGACATATACACCCTCCCATGATTGAAACAGAAAGAAATTGATTCCCTGAAAAGACCATAAATGAGCTCCAAAATTGGATCAGTAATAAATAGACTACCCACCAAAAAAGAAGCCCAGGACCCAACAGATTCACAGCCAAATTTTACCAGATGTACAAAGAAGAGCTGGTACCATTCCTACTGAAAATATTTCAAAAAATCAAGGAATAGGTACTCCTTTCTAACTCATTCTGTGAGGCTAGCATCATCCTGATACCAAACCTGGCAGACACAACAACAACAAAGACATGAGGCCAATAGCCTTGATAAGCATTGATGCAAAACTCCTCAAGAAAATACTTGAAAACTGAATCCAGCAGCACATCAAAAAGCTAATTCACCACAATCAAGTAGGCTTTATCCCTGGGATTCAAGATTGATTCAATATAGACAAACCAATAAAAGTGATTTATCACATAAATAGAACTAAAGCAAAAAACACATGATTATCTCAATAGATGCAGAAAAGGCATTCAATAAAATTTAACATCCCTTCATGTTAAAAACTCTCAATAAACTAGGCATTGAAGGAACATAACTCAAAATAATAAGAGCCATGTATGACAAATCCACAGCCAATATCATACTGAATCGGTAAAAGCTGAAAGCATTCCCCTTAAAAACAGACAGAGGACAAGGATGTTCTCTCTCACCACTCCTATTCAACGGAGTATTGGAAGTCCTGGCCAGAGCATTCAGGCAAGAGAAAGAAATAAAGCGCATCCAAATAGGAAGAGAGGAAATCAAACGATCCCTGTTTGCAGATGATATGATCCTATATCTAGAAAGCCCCATAGTTTCTACCAGAAGGCTTCTTAAGCTGAAAAAACAAAAATCTTTAGCAAAATTTCAGGGTACAAAATCAATGTACAAAAATTATTAGCATTCCTGTACACCAACAATAGCCAAGCTGAGAGACAAATCAGGAATACAATCCCATTCACAATTGCCACAAAAAGAATAAAATACCTAGGAATACAGCTAACCAGGGAGGTGAAAGATTTCTACAATAAGAATTACAAAACACTGCTCAAATAAATCAGAGAGGGCACAAGCAAATGAAAACATATTTCATACTTATGGATAAGAACAACCAATATCATCAAAATGGCCATAATGGCCAAAATAATTTACACATTCAACGCTATCCCTATCAAAGTACCAATGACATTCCTCACAGACTTAAAAAAAAAAAAAACTGTTTTAAAATTCACACAGAAATGAAAAAGTACCCAAATAGCCAAGGCATTCCTAAGCAAAAAGAACAAAGCTGGAGGCATTACATTACCTGACTTCAAACTATAGTAGAGGGCTATAGTAACTAAAACAGCATGGTGCTGGTACACAAAAAGACACATAGACCAATGAAACTGAACAGACAGCCCAGAAATAAGGCTGCATACCCACAACCATCTGATCTTCAACAAACTTGACAAAAACAAGCAATGGGGAAAGGACTACCTATTCAATAAATGGTACTGTAATAACTGGCTAGCCATAGGCAAGAGACTGAAACTGGACCCCTTCCTTATACCATATACAAAAATCAACTCAAAATGGTTAAGACATAATATAAAACTATAAAAACCATGGAAGACAACCTAGTCAACACTGATCTGGATGTGGGAACTGGCAAAGACTTCATAAGAAAGATGCCAAAAGAAATTGCAACCAAAAAAATTAACAATTGGAATCTAATTAAACTAAAGAGCTTCTGCACAGAAAAAGAAACTATCAATGGAGTAAATAGACAACCTACAGAATGAGATAAAATATTTGCAAACTATGCACCTAACAAAGGTCTAATTTCCAGCATCTATAAGAAACTTAAACAAATTTACAAGAAAAAAACCCTATTAAAAAATGGGCAAAGAATGTGAACTGATACTTTTCAAAGGAGGACAAATATAGAGCCAACAAGCATATTTTTGAAAGCTCAACATCACTGATCATTAGATAAATGCAAAGCAAAACCATGATGAGATACCATCTCGCATCAGTCAGAATGGCTATTACTAAAAAGTCAAAAAATAACAGGTGCTGACGAGGTTGAAGAAAAAAAGGGAATACTTATACACTGTTGATGGGATTGTAAATTAGGTCAACTATTGTAGAAAGCAGTGTGGCAATTTGTCAAAGAACTAAATACAGAATTACCATTCAACCTAGCAATCCCATTACTGGATATACATCCAGAGGAATATAAATCATTCTGCCATAAAAACCCAGGCACACAAATGTTCATTGCAGCACTATTCACAATAGCAAAGACATTGAAATCAACCTAAATGCCCATCAATGGTAGATTGAATAAAGAAAATGTGGTACATATATACCATGGAATACTATGCAGCCATAAGAAAGAATAAGATCATGTCCTTGGCAGAAACATGGATGGAGCTGGAGCCATCATCCTTAATAAACTAAAGCAGGAGCAGAAAACCAAATACTGCATGTTCTCACTTGTAAGTGGGAGCTAAATGTTGAGAAGTCATGAGCGCAAGGAAGGGAAAAACAGACACTGTTCTACTTGAGGGTGGAGGGTGGGACGAGGGATAAGAGCAGAAAAAATAACTATTGGGTTCTAGACTTAGCGATGAAATAATCTGTCCAACAAACCTCCTGACATAAGTTTACCTATTTAACAAACCTACACATGTACCCCTGAAACTAAAAGTTAAAAAATTAGCAAATATAATTTATATGCTTCTTCAACAATAGTTCTAAACATTATAGCCTAAAATGTTGGCAATATAACCGTTTTATTTTACACATCTTCTGTTGATAGAAATATAAAAACTCACAGTTTGAAATATAGACTTTTAATTTGGGTAGTGAGATTATTATCTATAATTTTACTTCAAAATATGATACTGGCATATAGCCAACATCTTTTACTAGTGTATTTATAAGGTGAAGTTTCACTATTTGGGATAAAAATGTGTGTTATATACTTCTAATATAATTATGTACTTCAAAAAGAAACAAAACCACAAAAAACGGTTTTATAAAACTATTTTGTCAGTTTCAGAATAAAGTGAAGTGACAGTGTAATATTGATTTAACATTCTATCTAATACAATGGAACTGTCATTACATCTATTTAATTACACTGGCCAATTACTTAAAGAAGATAAATATCCACTATCTTTCAAGCTGTTTGGACAGTCATGGACACAAGGAAAAGAAAGCTTTTCTGGGATGATCCATTGAGTTGGCAGTCCTCTGTCTCATCTGCATGTAATGCTCCTGAGCATCATAGAGAGAGCTTTCTGGACGTAATTCTTACACTTTCTCTCAGCCTGGGAAAATGTCAGCCAATTTAGCTTCAGGCACTTTAATGTACAATCATACTCAATGATGTGAATATATAGTCTATAATAAAATGAAAATAGACAAGTTATGCCAGCAAGCATCAATCCAGACTGGAGTCATCGTGTTACAAACAAGTTAATTATGTTCAACCCTGATATATAATAGATAATAATACATTAGTAACATGTATACTTCTTTAAAATTTATTATAGTATATGGATTCTGTTTTAAGCCACCCTTGTAAGAATACAGCCATACTGTGTATTAGTTTCCTAGGGATGCCATTAAAAGGTGCCACAATCTGGATGGCTTAATAAACTGAAATTTGTCATCTGAAAATTCTGGAAGCTAGAAGTTCAAAATCAAGGTAATGGTAGGATTTGGTCCTGAGACAAATTAGCAAATGTAAGAAGCCATGTTTGGTTATTTCTGCTTGCCAGAATAATTTCCCAAAACCCTTGACTCTGTGATGACGAGCAGCTCTCTGGAAAGATGCTTTGAAGACAAAACAGGATAGAAAACAAGTTCCTCCGTGTCTCTTGCCTGAGTCACTATATTCCTTAAAAGATAAATAACCCCAGTCCTTGTATTTTCCTACACATAAGATAACATGTGACTGAGTTAGTGATTATGCTTCTGTAAACTATGACCAGATGTAATCCTGCACCCAAACTTAGATGTAATTGTGCACATACTCAATCTTCACTACCTGTATATAAACTGAACTGAAACACTGCATTGGAGCAGTCAGATCAGACCTCTCTGAAGGACTGCTCCCAGGCTGTAGGCCTTGGTCTAGAGTCTTCAGTAAGACTTCTGAAAAAAACTAATGTTAATTATTTAAAAGCTTGATTTTTTTTCCCCTTTAATTTGGCAGTTTCTTCTGAGGGCTGTGAGTGAAGGGTCTGTTCCAAGTTTCTCTCCTTGGCTTTTAGATGGCTGTTTCATGTTAACATGGAATTTTCCCTGATATGTGGCTGTGTCCAAATTACCCCCTTTTATAAGGATACTAGTTACATGGGATTAAGTTTCCACTCTACTCCAGTATGACCTCTTCTTAACTAATTAGACCTGCAATGACCCTATTTCAAAATAAGATCACACTCTGAGGTTCTTCCGGTTAAATTCAACATATGAATTTTAGGAAGAAGGAGAGTACAATTCAGCTCATAACAAACCGTCTGTTGCAGCATCTTAATATAAAGGATCACAAAGAGATCATACATTACCAGTGATAGACGCAGATCTCCTGTATTCACGAATGTTACAAGTCTTCATGCTTTTGCTATGATGATTATAGTGCTTTTAATAATATTAAGTAATTGATGGAACAGTGGTAAGGCATAGAGAGTAACAGTAAGAACCAATAGTGAATGAGAAAGAAATAAAATACGCCACAATGTGATGGTAATGCAGCATTTACGAGGAAGCATATTTTACTAAATGTTCTTTATTTATGGCTACAAAAATATACTTTATGTGGCACTAATATGTTCACATTTAGTGTCCAGAATAATGTATCTTTGCCAACCATCATCAAATAACAAGAACTTAATAAAGGCTGACTAAATAAAAAACCTATTTTCAATTATATTCCAAATGGTCCTAGAAATTGTTAAGAGATGCACTAGAAAAGAAGTTTAAAACTAGCTAGTCTTTTAAAATTAGATTCTCTTACCTGAATCACTACTTTAAAAGCGTCTAGCTACTTAGTGTTTCATAATGAGAAAAATTATGAACCCAAGATACCTTTTGCTTTAACAAATCAATAATGTTTTAAAAAATCAACACCTATGACTCACGGAGGTGACCGATTTAATGCAAGTCAGTGCCTTAAAAACCACATTAAGTATTTGTGTTTTACAATTGCATATAAATTGGTTTTATTTGGCAGGGTACTCTTATTAAATGTTCATTTGTGAAAACTGTACACTGCCATATTTTCTGCTTCTACAACCCTCAAGGAAAAACCTTTTGTGCTTTCTAGAAAAGACCATATGTACATAAATTACTCTTTAAAAATCAATCACTTAGAAAGCACACATTAGAAACTTAATTATATGTTGATACACTTCAATTACAAAGCTACAACATACAAAACTAATGCTGATTTAGTGTTATCAAATTAAGAATGGTTCTTGTGTTCCTAAAGATTAGAATGAATCTTTGAGCTAAAAATATTTTTTTTAATTGCACACAGGTTGTAAGTCTTTAAAATTAATAGAGATCATCAGTAAATTTAATCTTTCTTTTATTTATAGGTCTATGAACAAAATAAATGGACTCATTATTTCTTAAGGTAACAAAGAAAATATGCCCTTTTAAAAAAGCTTATTGTGGGAAAATGAATTTAGAAGTCACAACATATAAACCGAGGACTTGCTATTCCAAATACCACAAATACATTAAAGATATATGTTGACAAATACATTATTTACATTTCATAAGCCACTATGAGACAAAAGGTAGGCATTATAAAGAAGGATATATTTTCTGATAAATTTCACACACTATGATAATATATGCAATAGTATTACACTGATGATAATTGAATGCAAAATATTGAATAAACAAAATCTATGAATGTTTTGTGTATGTGCAAGAGAGAATCAACTCATCACTACTGAAAATCATTATTATAACAAATTCTTACAGTGAAAATTTTAACTAAAGGGAAATAGATATGCATATAAACATTTGGCTTGCCTTGTTAGAAGAAATTATAATTCATTCTCACTTGATAAAAAAGATATTTTTTTGTTTTCCTTTCCTTCTCCTTTTTCTTTCAAAACCAAGAGAATGCCAGGTAATAATTGTAAAAGAAACAATAGTTATAAATCACCCTCATAACTCTGAAATAATTGATTCAAGCAAGATTGTCATTGGATGCTAAACACTAGAATTTGAAGAGCTAATGAGAACTGGTTAATTGCATAGTCTCAGAGTATTAAATCAAAGTTTACTTGCTAATTATGAAGAAGGAAAAATTTTACATTTGCAATGGAAAAATCCAGTGGTCACAACCACAACTGGGTGAGTAAAAAGTACATCATAAAATGGGGAATAATTTGACCTTCTGTACAATACAATATGATACAACATGAAGAACTACACCATCCTCTATGGAACATCCTTGCAAAAATTTCAATCTGAATTTTCAAGCCTTTAGCAGTAATTTCTAATTTACTAGAAATACAGGAAATACAGAAACAAGTTATATGACAACAATTAGACAAATTCATACTATGTGACATTTTATTTCAGTACAATTAGCCTAGTCCCCTCCAAAAGGCAGTACCATTAGAAAGTAAAAAGGTGTGGGAGGAAATAGCAGTCGTCCGTGTACTTCTCTACCCTCTTGCCTTTACACCTTTTGTGTGTGTCAGTCTGTACAGTATGCCAATTGTGAGCGCCAATTTGGCTTCCCGAGAGCTTTTTCTTGCCACCAAGGCACAATTTGCTGTTTTTCATGACAGTGACAAGATGTATCAGGGAAATAATGTTTGGGGAAGAAGTCCCCAAACTACAATTGACTACAGTTAGATTAAAATATTCTCTCCTACTTACCATCTGGGTAATAGACAGAAGATACTCAGAGGTGTTTGCTTTCTCTTCTGTGGCTCCCAGAGTTTCCCTGGAAAGATTAGGTTCAGACACTCACAGTGCCTTTAAATTACTCTTTAAAAATTTAAAGAGTAAATTTTTAGTAAAGAGTAGCTGGCTCGGTTATGCCAATGTACCCCTTTTGTTGTTGTTTTCTTTGTTTTTGAGACGGAGTCTTGCTCTTTGCTGCCCAGGCTGGAGTGCAGTGGTGCAATCTTGGCTCACTGCAACCTCTGCATCCCAGGTTCAAGAGATTTTCCTATCTCAGCCTTTCGAGTAGCTGGGATTACAGGAGCCCGCCACTATGCCCAGCTAATTTTTGTATTTTTAGTAGAGACTGGGTTTCACCATGTTGGCCAGGCTGGTCTTGAACTCCTGACCTCAGGTGATCCACCCACCTTGGCCTCCCAAAGCCAATCTACCCTTTATTGGCTGCCTTTTTCTTCCCTCTCTCACTTCCTCACTCCCTACCTGTGTTTTCTTCACTTTCCTAGTAATTACTTATGCTTGAATCATCTTCTGTTCTATTTCTGGGAGAGCCCAAGCTAAGACAGGGGCTTCTTATTGATCAAAATTGAATCCAGAAATTTAACAAACAAGTGCACGAATGTTATTTGGAATCTGGTTAAAAACATGGTAAGCAGTATATTGGGAGAGAGCATGTCATGATATCTGCAACTCAGTTTCCCCTGGTTCCACAATAATTAAATAAATACATTGAGATACACACACACACACACACACACACGAGATATAGATAAATTTAGGACAGATGGCAGATTGCTAAGAATATTTAACACAATCATCAACAAATTATGTAAGAAAATTTGTATTTAAGAAGAAACCTAGTGAGGATAATAATTTTAATGTTAATATAACTTTATTCACCTTAAGAACAAATTGTTATGCATCTGTTCTATGTACAGAGCCATGCAGCATACCGAGAGCAAAGTGCAGAACCAGACAGGTAGCCCTTGACATAGTTTACAATATCTTAGAAGAACCATGCTGTAGTCTACTAATTACACATTTTGTTTTTTCTTTTTTTATATATTTTTAGTTTTAGTTTTTATTAAAATTTATGACAAAGGGTATCATGCTGTACACAATCTTCTGAGGCTTGCTTTTTTTCTTTCAACAAAATGTTACTAAGATTTGTTCAAATTGTTATACAGGATACAGTTCATTCAATTTTGCTGATATACACAAAATATTCTTTTGTGCAAATATATTACAATTTATTCATCAAGTTTCCTGTCAATGAGCATTGGAGTTGTTGCTATTAATTTGCTACTACAAATAGTACTACTGAAAATATTGTCATACTTGTCTCCTGGTGCATGTCTTTTTATACATACACACACACATACACATGTACACACATATTTTGAAGTGAAATTTCTGGGTTGTAGAGTATGTGAAAATTCAACTTTACAAGATAATACTTTTTTTTTTTTTCAGAACGGTTGTGACAAATTACACTCCCACCAACAATGTATGGTAGAATGGTTGACCCACATTCTCTCCAATACTTGCTGTTGCCAGACTTCTTAATTTTTGCAAATTGAATGGGGGTAACTTGAATTTCATCTTTGTCTTTTCAATTAGAGTTGCAGTAAAGGCAATAGGAGATGTGCAGAGTGTGAAGGCAACATGAATAGAGGGTAAGGCTTTCTCAGGTGACCAGGGGAGGTCTCTTCATAGAATCAACATTTAAGCTAGTAGCTGAAGGAGGGTAGAAGTTAGCCCAATGTGTGTGTTCTTTGGGGGTGTGTGTGTGTGTGTGTGTATGAGAGAAAGAGCAAGATTGTGTTGTGTACATGTGCACAGGAGTAGACATCACTTTATTTATAAATATCCAAAATTAGAAAGAAAACAAATATTTTCAAGGGAGTAAAACACAGCCAGCGTGGCTGAAGTCCAAATAAAACCATATGGGGAAATGTGCAAGGTAAGTTTCGTGAGGAAGGCAGGGGACAGATTATACATAGATCAAAGAGTGCCTTTTAAACTATGTTTCATAGCACTCTAGCTGTAATGTGAAAAAGACGAGGGCTAAATGGAATTTGGTGTCTGTATTTGTATTAAGAATGCCTTTTTATCCCGATGCTCTTTATTCTGACATCTTGGGGCCTTGTTGACGTCAAAGGGACTGCCCTTCTGTGGTTAGCTTACTCACTCAGGAGTTCACCTTCCATATGCAAACCAACAAATCTGAAGCTCATAGCTCAAACATCTCTTATCAGGTTCTTACAGGACTTTCACATTTGGGTCACTATTTTATTTTCCTAATTCCCCAGGACCAGGTACCAGACAATTAGAGGGATACTCCACACCCCAGAGCCTGCTGATATTATTCAAATTAACCTAAACCTGCTTAGTCTGCTTATCCTGCCTTGTTTATTTCTTCCTCTAAACAATGAGGGATCTTGCAATGCTTTCCCTAGCTCCGTCTGCTTCCTGACTGACCCTGGTGCCTCTCCTTGTGATCTTGCATGCTGTGGAATGGACACTCCTCTTGGGAAGTGTGAGTAAGGAACTATCTTCTCAGTGGCAATTGTCTCTGGTTGGCCTTGATATGTTGGCCTCATCATACCTAAATAATAACAAAATCTACATTTTAAAATTGTTTTTTAAGCAAATATATAAAAGTATTTGATGCTGGAACAACAACACAAGGACGTTAGTGAAAAACAGTGACAACTGACTAACATTTGTTTAGTTAATAGTATGATGCCAGTGTTAATCTCCTTGCTTTGACAAATATACCATTCTATAAACTGTTAATATTAGGAAAATGTGACTAAAGTGTCTTCAGGAACTCTCTGCACTTTCTTTGCAACTTTTCTGTAAATCTAAAATTATCCCTAGATTAATTTTTATTTAAAAAAAATTTTACACATAAAGAAATAAGAGTGGATGTGGAAGTACTAGTTAGGGTCTGTAACAAAAGGAGAGAGGTGTCATTAGGTTGATGTCCTTAAGGATGGGTTTGATGTCAGCATTCTTTTTCTATTGCCCATTTCTCACACAACTCCACAGAATAAAAGTACTGAATAACACACTTGGTGAATTATAACCATTGATTCATATTTATAGCTTGATGGAATCTAAGAATAGGGACTTAGTCTCTTTCTGTTTTTCTCACTTCAGACAATTTTGAGGCACGTATTCCACTGTATTTGCCCTGAAACTAAAATTTCTTCCCTGGTAGCCTTGTCCCAAGTCTACTTCATTAACAGCCTGAAACCATATTCTCCAATCTGGTGTTTATCAATAAAATGGTGATACATTTTCATCTGCCTAATCCCAAACTCTGCTGTGAAACAGAGGCATCAGGTACTAGCTCCTTTAAATCCAAACCAAAGCAGAAAACAAACAGGGAAGGCGTATTTTTTAAAGAATTCAATTTCTATTGTTTCATACCTGTCTATACCTCAACTCCCAGAAGTAGAGTCCATCATTTTAATAAAGTTTGAGGAGGATTTAAATTGTAAATCCTGCTGAAACAATACTCTTAGGTGCTTCCAAATTACCGAGAAAAAAAAAATGTTATCCTTTACTTCCACCAACACCCCAGAAGAAGTTTTAATAAAGGAGAAAAATAAGGGAGTCCATTTTTTTCATTTAGTTCTGTTTTATTCGTGTGTTTTCACTGGCTACATACTGACTGAGAGTGAATAGAGATGTTGACACAGTTGGTCATAAGGATTGGGCAGGAGGGAAAGAACGTTTATTATCACATTTCACATTTATCATTTTGACCAATGACTCTCAATCCCAAGTAACAAAATACACTTTCTCTTTCAGGCTGTATGCTGGCGAATCACATAAACTGCCCATTTTAGGTATCCTTGAGTTTAAGGAGTGAGAATAATAATAACTATGTTTTTATCCCATCTTTACGTGTGTCCTTTTTAAATATATATTTGTTGCACATACTCATGAGGAATGTAAGCATTTATCAGGGTTAATTTCCTTAATATAAATCCAGCGAAGTTATTAAAAAAGATTAGGAAGCATTATGAATTTTTAAAGTTTACTTATGAAGGAAATTTAGAAAGAAAATAATGCATCATATTCCTTTAAGTCTTGAATTCAAAATTCATGCCCTCTCTCTGCAGAGAAAGAGGATAGTTGGCTTTCAGAGATAGAGAAAGTGCTTGCCTATCTTCACTGGACAGAAATATTTAAACACAACACATCCCTGCCTGCCAATACACTGTAGTATGCAACTCAGCATGCCATTTGGTTTTATGATTTCATTATAGTCCAGTATATAGCTACAAATTTATATATTGGGAAGGCAAATAATTACATAGGTAACATTTCTCATGTAAGTTACTTTTACAATCACCTCACTTCCCTTAAATGAAATCATGTTCATAACAACCATTTCTTTAAAAATCTGGATAAAATATAAACATTCAGGTTTATTTCATGGAGCACCCAAGCAATACTTCGATTTAAAAATGATTAAATTGTATGATAAATGAACTTATTGAAAATTCTTCACAGAAAAACCTGTTACAAATGGACGGAAAAACTGAGTTTTTGTCATTTAAAAGTCATATCCAAGTATATTTCCTACAACACTGTTTATCTGTATATATTAATTTTTATTGACAAGTTACAGTTTATTTTGCTTTTCAAAGTAAACTAAAATGCCCTCACCTATTATAAGGAGAAATTTTCTGTACATTCTTTAAAGTTTTTCATATGTTAAGTATTAATTATTGTAACCAGAAGTAAAAAAAAACGGCAATGTAATTATTATCTTCCTGGAAACCTAGCTGACCTCTCTGACTTGGTCAAATTCTTAATCATTAAGAAAATATCACGTACATTTCCATCACGTAAAAATTTGCATTTACTCTATAATTATTTGATTAATATCTGATATTCCAGATTATAAACTCCATTAAGGTAAGAACTATTTTTATGACTATTTTATCCTCAGTATTTCACACTATGCCTAGTATATAAAAGATGCTAAAAATCTTATTAAATAAATTAATCTACGTCTCTTGCACTTAAAATGTTATTAGAAATATGCTTTACTTGTATGAAAAAAATTCTAAACCATTCAAAACATGCTTAGCACAATTCATAACTTTAGCCTGATAAGTATTTGGTCACTTTATCGCTGCATACTTGCTTGATTTAACTCTAATTAGAAAATTAAAGAAATAAAAGTTTATAATAATGGCAGTAAAGATTTATGCAGTGCTTAAATATTTATTAGTGCTTAGTATTTATTTAGTACCTTGAACTTTGGCATGCATTTACAAACTTTCTATCATTTATTCCTCAGAATAACTTTATGACAGTGTAATTCTAGTATTCACTTAATCGATGAATAAATTTAGACTCAGAAAGGTTAATTTTACTATTGTTATACAACATGCGGTGTTCGAATTCATATTCGAGGAGATTTAACTCCAAAATTAAACTTTCCTTAATCCACAATGTCTTATTGGCCCTCCAAACTAAACTAAAACAGAATATTTTAATAGTTTTTATTTAAAGTTTAGGTCTTAGTATTCAATTCTATCTTTCTTACTCAAACGCAATATGCTCTTCCAACAAATCTTTCTTAACTTTCTGTTTGGAACTTAGAAAAAATAAATAGCTCTCTCTCTGTGTGTATATATATATACCATTACATATAAACCATTCAACACATGCTTAGCACAGTACATATATACTACATATTTTATATATTATATGTAATGCATATATTATATATAATGTATCATATATGTATATATAATTCATAGACCAAAATGGGTATAGCAGTATATGAGTTTAAGTGTATATATACACATAAATAACATTTAATTTAATTATATTAAGACTAAATTTTATTATTTATATTTAATCTTTGATACATGTAGACAAAATTTGGCATATTATAATGAGCTATACATTATATCAATTACATAAAATATAATAAATCTGTATTTTTAAATGAACAATGTCAAAACTTATGAAACTTTCTTTGGAGTGGTATATCAATGATCAACATCTTATAAAATGATGTATTTCACCTAAATTTTTGCATTGGCCTTCCTCTATGTAACTGAAGCAAATTTCCATTTTTCCCATATGAATCATATTCTTGACACAATGATCTAAAAGCTAATCAGCTCCTAACTCCCCCATACCTGTCAGTTTTCCAACTTGTTGGGTTCTACTTAAAATTTCTTCCCACAAAATCAGAATTAAACAAAGCTAATGCATTGTGAATCATTCTAATATGTGTATTACTTATACCCCTAATTATAGGCATTGTAATAATTGTACTTTCTCTAATAAACTCTTTTGCTTGGAAGAAAAACAAAACAATGGCTTTCACTTTACACAGCTACAAATTAGAGACCAAGAATAACCTTTCACATATTCCAGCCACTGCTGTCTGATTTGCAAATGGGGGTCATGAATCATCTAACCAGATAGGCTTCATTTGAAATGACACACACTACACAGCATTCACAATGCAGATCCTGGTTGCAAAGGTTCATAGGCCAACTGATTTTTCTCTGTTGCTATTGTTCACGTCAGTCAGTGGATTTTTAGATTAAAGAGAAAACAGGGGTTATTCTAGCCCAATAATATTGTTGTTAATCATATATATTTATCTGTATACAGCAAATTAAAGCCTAGATAGAATTGCTACTTTTAAGGAGGCTGAGGTGCAAACAGTGGGAGAAATAATAAAGAGACAATAAAGAAATGTTAACACTTTTTTAAAACATTGCTGAAGCTTTACAACTGTGCCTGTTTTCCTTAAAATAATATTATTTAACCAAGTTTCTTAAAAGATTTTTTGCACTATTTTTTATTTCTGGTAGGTTTATTTCATTCTTGGTTAGTAACTTCACCTGATTTCAGAATCATATTAATATAACCGTTGTTTAGTCTTCATGTAGTATTTGCTTCATAGTACAGTACTTAAGAAATGTATTTTCAGAAGGAGGTAGGGCCTGGGAAAGAGTAAGACAAAAGGGAATTTAAGGAAAAATGGTAAAAAAAAAAAATATATATATATATATATATATGAACAATGTGTATATATACATATATATACATATATACTTATATATGTATATTTACATATATATATAAAATCATGTAGAAACAATATGATTTTCTTGAACAAGCTATATACAATTAGCAATAAGCAATGTGTATATATATGTGTGTATATATATGTGTATATATATACACACACACATACACATATATGCATATATACTTATACATATATATGTATATATGTGTATATATACTTATGTGTATATATACACACATATATGTATATACACATATGTATATACACACACACACACACATATATATACACACATTGCTTATTGCTAATTGTATATAGCTTGTTCAAGAAAATCATGTTGTTTTTTGTAAAGGATCATTTCCTATTGCTACCATGTTGTTCAACATATGTTCAATTCAGGATTAACCCTAACAAAGGCTAACAGGTATTTCTTTTTATAGTTTAAATATATGTGTGAAGAACATGAGTACAGATTATATTTCATTTGGATTAACAGTTGTGAAATGAACTATTATTCAGAAAATGTTTTTTCATTATTTCAAATCCTGAGCATAATTTGATATTGAAACATTTTGTTAATGTTTAAAAGCATTATAATCACAATTTATGAAATGTGACCCCAGTGTATAAATTGGATATAAATATATATTTCTGAACTATATAACAGTACAAATGCATGTTGTATATAATCCTTTGTTAACAAATATAATCTTTATTTTTCTATAAATATACCCTTATGTTTTTACCTCTAGTAGATGTATAGAATATAGTTTTTATGTACCACACAAGAAAATAAAATATTTAGTAAAAATGTGAATGTCAGTTTCAATAGAAAGATTGTATACAATAGACGACCAAGAGTTTTGTCTTAAAATGCAAATTGTGTGTGTTTGTGTGTGTTTATATGTTATCATCATATCCTGATATTTTGGATATGATGATTTATATGTTAATATCCTATCTTAATGTATCATCATCCTAATAGTTTCTATATCATTCATTAAAAATGATAATATTTAAATAGTTCAATGGATAAAAACAGAGGGTTGTTTTTGGTGGAACCCCATGAAAAACTCAACACCCACTCAGTCCCACTACTTGCCAAAAGGGCAGAGAACATGCCATCTTAGGGACACACTTACAAATCTTCACATGAGTTAGATATCTCTGCTATAGATACATTATCAAATGAGAAAGGTATTTGGAATAAAAAATACTTTATGATATTAAAAGAATTATTTCTTATCTCACCTTTGTTTTTGAAAAAAAGTAAATGTTCTATAAATAAAAATCCAAAGTAAGTTTTCTTAGATGTTAAAAAGTGCCATACATTTTGTTTAAAATCATATATTTCATGGACAGACAAAAATATAATTACATTAAATCAATGACACAAAAATGCTTTTTAACATGTTTTAAAAATTTAATTGTCATTTGTAAAATATTATCAGAAGCTTTTATAAAAAACAGCTTCAAAAATGTAAATTTATTATAATAAACATGTGCTAAATTGATGTGGGATTTATACATTATTATTGTATATCAACAATAAGAGTTATAAAATTATAATTTACCATATGATCAATCTATTTTAGTACAAGTCAGAATTTCATTTCTCTATAATCAACATTGGTGCCCCTTAAGAAAAAAATTATGGCATATAAGCAGATTTGATAAGTGTTTTAAATTGCATATATATTTCAAAAAAATTCTTACTAATTTTTTTAGAAAATAAATCATTAATGTGACCTAACGTTCTTATTCCCTAATGGGAGTACTCATCAACATACTGGCAAAAAGCAATGAATGCTTGAGGATAAGCTAATTCTAAAATATGTCTGCTAAAGAATATATTTTTTCCAGATTTTGAGTATATGCCAAAATATTTTTTGTAAAAAAAGATAACTCAGGCAGGCCACAGTGGCTCATGCCTGTAATCCCAGCACTTTGGGAGGCTGAGGCAGGCAGGTTGCTTTAGCTCAGGAGTTCAGGACCAGCCTGGGCAACATGGTGAAACCCTGTCTCTACAAAATATAAAAAAATAAAATAACTGGATGTGGTGGCATGCACCTGTGGTCCCAGATACTCAGGAGGCTGAGGTGGAAGGATCATTTGAGCACAGGAGATCGAGGCTGCAGTGAGCTGAGCTGTAATCAGGGCACTGCACTCAAGGCTGGGTAACAGAGAGAGATCCTGTCTCAAAAAACAAAAAAAAAATCAAAGTCTATAAACTAGAATTATTTTTCTTCAAAACTGTAATTACTATTTGTGTAACCATTATTATGTAACTATTTTAATTACCAAGTACATTTGACTTTTTTTTTTTTTTTTTTTTGAAGACAGGGTCTCAATCTGTCACCCAGGCTGGAGTGCAGTGGTGTGATCATAGCTCACTGCCGCATTCAACTCCTGGGCTCAAGTGATCCTCCCGCCTCAGCCTCAAAAGTAGCTGCGATATAGACATGCACCACCACACCTGGACAATTTTTTTTTTAATTTTTGTAGAGATGGGGTGTCGCTATATTTTCCAGCCCCAAGCAATCCTCCTGCCGTGACCTCCCAAAGTGTTGGGATTATAAGCATGAACCACCACCCCCAGCCTGATACTTTTTAAAAATAGCTTTATTAAGATATAATTCACATAACAGAAAATTAACCTTTCAAAGTTTACAATAAACTGACTTTGTTGTGTTTACAAAGTTACATAACCATCAATACAATTTAATTTTAGAACACTTTTATTATCTCTAAGTGAAACCCCTGAAACCATGAGTAGTACACTCATTATTCCCAACCACAATTCTAGGCAAATACCAATCTACTTTATGTCTCTATGGGATTTCCAAATCTTCACATTTCAAATAAATATAATCAAACAATATATACTCTTTTGTGACTGTATTATTTCACTTCATATACAATTTTCAATTTTGAGGCAAATATAATTACTTTAATTTTGATAACTAATATTTCATATGTGATACAACTCATCTTTGTTTATTCAGCTGATACAAATTTGTGTTGTTTCCATTTTTGGCTATTACCAACAATGCTGCTAACAGCATTTCTGAACAAATATTTATGTGGACATATATCTTCTTTATTTTGGGGGAGCACATATCTATATGTGGAATTGCTGGGTTGTAAGGTAACTCTATGTTTAACATTTTGAGGATTGCCACACAGTTTTTGAAATAGATTGCACTATATTACATTTCCACTGGCAATGTGTGAAAGTTACCATCTTTTTTTTATTTTGGCTATTTTAGTGAGTGTCAGGTGACATTGCTCTGTGGTGTTGCTTTTCTTTCTTTAATGACTAAAGATATTGAACATATTTACATGTGATTATTGGCCATTTGTTTATCATCTCTGATGATATGTTTATCCAAATTATTTGCTTATTTTTAAATGTTTTTTATTTGTATAAATTTAGAAGGTACAAGTGCAGTTTTGTTACATGGATATATTTTGTGGTGGTGAAATCTAGGCTTTCAGTATAAGTATCAGTGGAATAGTATATATTGTACCCATTAAGTTATATCTCATCCCTCATCCCCTCCCACTCTCCTGCATTTCCCAGTCTCTAATACTATGATTCCATACTCTATATCCATGTGTCCACTTTATTTGGCTCCCACTGCAAAGTGAGAACATGTGGTATTTGACTGTCTAATTCTAAGTTGTTTCACTCAAAATACAGTTCCACCCATGTTGCTGCAAAAGACAAGATTTAATTATTTTGTATGGCTGAATAGTATTACAGTGTTTGTGTGTGTGGGTATGTGTGCATGTGTGCACCACAATTTTTTAACTACTCAAAATATAGAAAGTATTGGTCATGATTTTTTCAAGTGTTCCTTGTGATTTTCTCTCTCTTCCCTCTCCTTCTGGGATTGCACTATGAGTATGTTGGTATGTTAAATGGTGCCCTGCCATTCCCTGAAGAGAATGAACATCAAAATCTGTTATTTTTTAATTTTTTTAAAAAATTTCTCTTCCTAAGAATGTATAATTTTAATTGACCTATTGCAAAATAGCTAACTGATATTTTCTCTGACAGTTCAAATCTACTTTTGAGACCATCTAGTGAAATTTTCATTTCAGTTTTTGTACCTTTAAACTTCAGAATTTCCATTTAGCTCTTTTTTATAATTTCTATCCCTTTATTAATATTCTTTAATATTCTTTTTTCAGTGAGACATTGCTGTCATCTAGTTTTTAAATTCTTTAGATTTTTTTTCTTTTAGTCTTGGAACATATTTATAATAGCCATTTTAAAGTCTTTCTATAATAAATCCAACATCTAAGCTCCTAAAAAAAAGTTTCAATTGACTACCTTTTTCCTGTATATAAGCCATATTTTTCTGTTTATTTTTATGTCTCGTAATTTTCTGTTAAAAATTGGATATTTTAGATAATATATTGTAACAACCATAAAAATAAAACAAATATATACTTCACCTCAAGATTTGCTGGTGTTGCTGTTTTAAGGATTAATCTGTGGTGTCACTGTTTGTTTAATAACTTTCCTCTTCTAATTTTCTAAGGTCTATATATCCTGAGGGTTTCTGCTCAGGTAGTGAAATGGTCAGCTAATGCTTACCAGAGAGTTCCTTAAATACCTTTATCCAGTGTGTCTTCCATCCTTCGTAGGGGGATGTGGGACTGTGTATTTGGACACAGCTTCAACACTCCAGCAGTCTATAAATCTATCTTATCATTTACTTTCTACTTGCTCAGGTCCTTAAAATCAGCCAGAGTTTAGAGATTGGGGCCGCCTCAGGAATTTCTTGGACATTCACACAGGCCTGCACATGTGCAAATCCTTCTGGATCTCAAGAATCATGTTAGAGCTTTTTAAAGCCAACTATGGACATCCTGTACTCCAGATTTTTCTCTTAAATTTTTGATAAGGCTGTTTTCTTCATTAATGATATTGCAATCTCAAGCAACTGTGAAGTTAAGCAGTTGCCATTAATTGTTTTCAACAAATGTCCTAAGGGAATTGGGCTCAGCATCAGATCAAATAAAAGCAATGCTGTTTATGAAGATTTTTACAGAAGCTGAAATACATGTCAAAAAGTCACAATGTTCTGTAGAGGACATCCCAACCCTGTCTTCTCCCTGTGCAAGTTGGAAGACAGGTGTTTTTTACAACTACCTTGGTTGCAAGTCTACTGGTTTTCAAGGGCACTATAGAGCTGGATGTGGGAATGGAAGAGAAAATACTAGTTATAGTGTGACAAATTCTACTATTATTTTGGAGGTTCAGCAGTTTTTATTGAATAAATACTCCTTTATTTTTTCAAGTCTTAGGTGAGTTTTCAAAGTTCTATAAACACTGACTTTGAAAAATTTTCCTAGTGTTTCTGTTGCCCTTATAGAGCAGCAAAATTACAGACATTGTCACTCCACTGTTCCTGAAGTCCCATCTCATGATTTCCTCTTATGATCATGAATCATATGTTGCCTTTCACATTTCTACTTTTCTGTTTTGGGTAGGTAGTGAAATTCTTAAATAAAAAGGACAACAGTGCAAATCAAGTTAATGTAGAACATTAATTTTCCAAAACACTTTCATTTGAGATTTTTAGCTTACTTCCTTAAAATGAGAAGCCGAGAAGCCGAAATGAAAATCAAACCGGCATTCCCTTCCTTGTTTGTGAATATGCACAGCTATGCAACAGAATCATAGTTTTCTCATCCTTGTAATTCTTTTCTTAGTCTTATCTTCCTAAAGCTAACAAAAGTATAATTAATTTCTATGTATTAATATTCTTCTTTTCTCTCTTGATCATCATTTCATCAAAGACCTTGGACAATGTGGCATTCCTTAGTTTTCTTTCTTTCTTTTTCTTTCTTTCTTTCTTTCTTTTTCTCTCTCTTTCTTTCTCTATCTCTCTCTCTTTCTTTCTCTCTCTCTCTCTCTTTCTTTCTGTTGTTCATTCATTTGTTCTTTGTTTCTTTCTTTCTTTTCAGAGTTTTGCTCTTGTTGCCCAGGCTGAGTGCAATGGCACAGTCTCAGCTCACTGCAATGTCCACTTCCCAGGGTCAAACAATTCTCCTGCCTCAGCCTCCAGAGTAGCTGGGATTACAGGCATGTGCCACCACACCTGGCTACTT